>NC_000015.10:87653399-87804914 GCF_000001405.40 Homo sapiens
CTGGGAAATAGTCTAAGTATGGAGAAAGCATGGTCTTTCAGTATTTCTGGAAACAACAGACTCCACTTGCATAAACCCCTATATGATGCCAACATGCTTTATTAATCTGTTTCATTGGCCTCTTCGGATCTTTATTTTTAACCTTTCAAATTTACCTCTTCTGTGGCATACTCATTCTTACTGCAGCCCCTTTGATGAGTTAAAAAAGATACCAGCACAACTGGGAAACTGCCCTCTAACTTAGAAAGCCCATCTGCCAGGTAAAGTACTGAACTCTACCAATTAATAAAAGCATTATCCCCATACTCCACCAGAACCCACATGTCCTTGGGTTAATTGCCCAATTGCCCAACCCATCACCAAGGCTTGCCCTGCCCAACCCAAGGCTTGCATTGACTCTGTTTTCCTCCCACTCAGTCTCCCTTATCTGACCCCTGCTGCCAAGCCCCATACTACTGCCTTCCAATCAAACACCTTCTTTCACCAGCAGAAGCCAAAATCTTGGACTCCACAAATTAGCAAGAAAGAGCAATATCATCAGGATGCAGCTAAACCATTCCTAGGCCTGCCCTCTCCTTGTGCCTGGAGATCCCTTGATAGAGTCTACGTTTTGCCTTCTTATCTCTACTCTTGGTGCTTGTGGTCTCTCACTGGCCTGTACTCATAGAGGGAAAAATAAAGGCATGTTATGGTTGGGGTAAATTCACCTCAATGAAAAATAAGCAGAACTTCTCTTCAGAAGGAACGAAACTGTCAGTCATGCAGAATGGCCAGCTCAATTTTGACCAAAGGCTAATATTTTATTATATAAACTGAAAGTTTTCAAATCCACTCATGGTTCAAAAATCAAAGGGCCTGCAGACAATCCCCATGGCTCTTGATGCCCAGCCACTGTCCTGAACTTGAATAATACACAAGGTTAAATTGTATACTGGAGCAGAATTTACAGTGTCACAGTGATGTGGAGCCTTTTGGGAAGGCAGTCAAGATTAGAATACAATGGTTCTCCACAGGTGAGACTGGTAGATAGGCCTCTTGCAAAGGGAGGCCCAGCATTATATTAAATCCAGCAAATGTATCCCACACTCCTAACTCAGAATTAAGCTTTAGAGATTGCAGGAATCACTGATAAAGTGATCAATTACTACCCATGATGAAAATGCAGTTTGCAGACCAAGAGTCTCTTGGCTTTCAAAAGGAATACTCCTGGAAGTTTGCTAGTGACAATTAATCCCAACACTTTTTTCTTAGGACTTAAGCAAGGACCAAAGAATATTTTCCACCTTATTACCAGAAAAAAATAAAAAAAAAAACTTCAGATTCAGCCTTGAGCTGCTTTGACTTAGAAGCATTACAGGAACTCCTTCCTTGGCCCCCTTTCTGGGCCCCTTCTTGACCCAGTCCAGAACTAGGGGCCCATTTGGTGAAAAACTGGGTCTGCCGAGGAAGCTCTGAGCACACAGCTCCTGAAAGGGTGACAGAGCTCTCAGCCTAGCTCACCCCCTGTCCCTGTAGAGCATGGGCAAGGGAAGGCATGTTGGAGAGTGGCTTTCAGTCCTGCCACAGAGGGACTGGGCATGGAGTGTAGGCACAAAGTGAGAGCTGGCCCAAAGGCAGTCAGGCTGGTGGGCAAGGAAAGAGTCAAGAGCCCAGGCTGCCCATGAGCAGGGACCAATCTGCTGCTCCATCACTGGTGAAGCCATGTCTCCCTTTCCCAAACCCCACCATCACTACAACTTTCTCTCTTGCCTCTAGCTCCAATGCAGTGTCCATGATGTTTATTTCCACTTATTTATTGAGGCCTTAAGAAACTCTTAACGGGCTTTCATTCTTTGTATTGATAATAACAACTAAATTTATTGAATAGGGGTCAGAAACTACATTAAGTACTTCAACTGAAATGTTTTTTTAAAACCTCACAACAACAACAAAGTAGACAGCATAATTATGCCATTTTTCAGACTGGAAAATGAGGCTCAAAGACAGTAAAATACTTGCCCCAGGACATGCAGCTACCAGTGGTGGGAAAGAGATTACAACTCAAATCTATCCGATTCCAAAGTGCAGAACTTAGGCCACTGTTCTAGTGTCTTGCAAACTGTATCCCAGGGAATGCTAGTATCCTGCTTAACAAAAACCTGTAGAGTTAAGAATGCATAAAAAAGCTGTACATTTTATTACCCCTATATTTGAAGAAGCCCCACTACAACATCAGCAAGGCTAGTGGTCCATGGAACATAGTTTGGAATACTCTGCTCTTAGAAATACTGATTCTATGTAGCTAAGCTACTGGGAAGAGGGGGATACATAAGGTCTGAGTTCATTCCGAATATTCAGCAAGTCATGGGGGTGAGTGTGGTGGCAATAAGAGCAATGACCATTTATTGTATCTCTAATTTTGTGTTGGTGGCACTTTGTAAATATTAACATACATAATTTTCATAATACTACAGTTTGAACAGTATGATTCCCATTTTACACATGAGAAACCTAAGGATGGCTCAAATAATTTAAGTAACTTGCTGAGGGCATCAGAGCTACTAAGTAGTAGAGTTTACACTCAACTCACACTTTGCAGCCCAGAGATTGAGAACAGCAGGAAACCATTCCCATTACCATGAAGGCAGAGGAGATGATGGAGGCTGTACAGAGTCCAGGAGCTGGGTCAACAGGTAGAAGCTGGAGGCACAGGGGGCCTGATCACTGGGAGCTGGAGGAACTGCCAGAAATGTCATTAGAAGCAGAGAGAATGAGAAATAACTTGGCTTTGTCAATCTACAAGGAAGAAACTGAAGCAAAGTTAATATAAGTAAAGAGTTTATTTGGTCTAAGCTTAAGGATTGCAACCCAAAAGCATAGATTCAAGCTGCCCTGAATATACATGCCAATTAGCAGCATTTATAAGTGGATTTTTAAAAGGAAAAGCAGCAATTCCTAAGTGGTTTACCAAGAATTTACATTAAAATAACATAAGCTATTGATTGGCTATACACTGCAACACAGATTCCAGGAACATGAAGATAATGGGTGAGACAGCTGGTCAGGAACAATATGACTTTAAACAATCACCCCCAGGCATGGGCATGTGTGTGTGGAGGTGTGGTGCAACTGAAGTCCCATGCTCACACCTCTCTAGACCTGCATAGTTTACATAACTCAAACTGCACTGAACTATTTTTCTTTTCTCATTTCCCCCACTGTTAATCAAAAATCTTCCCATGGAAGCACTGATAACCAATCTCTGCTTAGGCCTTCATACCTCAGTGCTACGACAGTCCTCAGTCAAGTCTCTGATTTATATAACTGTCATTGCTTGTTGAATCATCTCCAGTCTTCAGAATTTCATGCTTTTGGTTTTCTCAGAAGTAAAACAATGAGAGATGCATAGTAAAAACCTATTCCAACAGAGATTCATTCCAAATTGTATGAAAACAATAAAATCTGAAAAACAAAGATCTGGGCTGCGGTCTGATAACAGATGTACCATAATTTTCTTCTGAAACGTAATTTTTTCTCCTTCCAGTCCCCATTTTTACCAAAGATAAACTTTTATAGGATAAATATACTTGCAAAATAAGTTTTAGTATCATACTTAGCCTTATCATTTGCATAAAGTACAAGAATAGTTATTGGCCATATAGGCTCTTTTAAGTTGGCTGTGCTGAAACTTTAAAAAATCTTGAGGCTAGGAAGCCAAGGCAAAGGTTCACTACTAGACTATGCTATGCCTGTAATACCTGTACAAATAGGGTGAATGTTACTCAAGTCTCCAAAATACCTTGAGCTACCCAGGCCTGTCAAAAAGTGATATTCTTTACTTACTTCAAGGTCAGAAACCTTGAAAGAAAATTGTGTAGACAAGGTACCAGGCAAGTCTTTTTAAGGGGCTTTCTCTATTGGCTCTATAAAGTTAACCTCAATTTTTCAAAGCAGTCTGGTCATATCTGAAAATATGCCATTCTAGTCAATTCCTTGGTTAAACAACCAGTGTCTCCAATTGTGTCCCGTTAAAGAAAACAGATTCTTATTGAATTTATGCAAATAACTAGATTGCCATAAAATAAGAATACTCATGAATAGTCTCCAAATCTAAGGGAAACCAGGTAGAGCGAAAGGCAAATGTTTTAATTTTGCTCACATAGGTGTATTTTTCCCAATTGCCACAAACTATAAATAGCTCAGTAGTTTTCTTGACTGAGAAAATGTAAAAATAATCAACAATGTTTCAAAAAAAGTCATAAATGTCACTTCACTCTTCTAGCAGTTTAGTCCTATGTAATCTAATTTTTGTTCTGCATGAGGCTGGGTTAGCAATCTTTATGAATGCATCAGTTTATTAGAGTTCTGAAAATTTTTATCTAGTCTTATGATAATTATATAATCTCTAAAGTTATAAGAAACCTGTATTCAAGAGTACTTTTTAGGGTCTTTTCCCATTAATTTTCTTGAAGAAAAAGCAAAATTTGGACTGTGGCCAACTGTGAACTGATCTGGAGAAGAATTAAAGTAAAACAATAATTTTCTGTGGATTACAAAGGACTTAGAGTAGCCATAGTTAAAGACAAAGTTGACAAGGAAATCTGGCTATTTCTGTGGCATAAAAAAAGTTAATGTCATAACCATAATTATGTCTGACAAGACATATCAAGACATATCAGAATTTTAGGAATCTCATATAATTATGGAACACATATTAATAACATATCCATATAAATGTAACTTAAAAAAAAGTTAAGCTCCATTTCTTATTTGACAAAGCTTCCTGTATGATTTTTAGCATACAAAATAAGCCTAATATGTCTCTCTGGGACTTACAGGGGTTCCACTTGGAAAAGACTTAGTTTTAAAATTTGAAACTTGATTTTGGGAAGTATGTTAAATATTAAATGTTTAAAACACTTGATGAAAATAAGACTACAGGCCACTGTAAAATAATACTCATTCATTTAGCCAAAATGATACTTCAAGATTTCAACAAGTAAAACCTTTCCTTTTTGATAGGAGGCTCAGCTTTCCAAACAATCAAAAGGCCTTATAAAGACACCATAAGACCAACAGAATTTGTTTTTCCTTTTTTTTTAAGTTTACTCAAAAGATGAACAAATCTTTTATTATCTTTTATTAATATGATGTGAAAATTTTATTCAAACCAAATTCTACCATTTCATCAGTATATTATTAAAGCTAAAGCTAATTTTAATGAAACCTTAAAAACAAATTCATCCAATCTCAATCAGCTTTAACAACACAAGATAGGGTTTCCAGAAACCTTTTATAACCTCTTACAATTTTCCATTATAGAGTAGATCAATGCTCAAAAAAAATCCTGTTATCCTAACACAGGGACATTGCATTAATTTGCTCTTGATAATAATGCTCAAATTTTAGAAAAACTAAGTAAATCCCTTATAATGTTAACCAATTTGATCACAGACAAAATTCCTTTTATGAGATAAATCTTTTACAACTTGCTCAAACTTCCCATTTTTTTCCTGTACTTTCTTTTTTTGTTGTTGTTGAGATAGAGTCTCACTCTGTTGCCCAGGCTGGAGTGCAGTGGCACCATCTCAGCTCACTGCAACCTCCACCTCCTGGGTTCAAATGATTCTCCTGCCTCAGCCTCTCAAGTAGCTGGGATTACAGGTGCGTGCCACCACACCCGGCTAATTTTTTTGTATTTTTAGTAGAGATGGGGTTTCACCATGTTAGCCAGGATGGTCTCGATCTCCTGACCTTGTGATCTGCCCACCTCGGCCTCCCAAAGTGCTGGGATTTCAGGCATGAGCTACCGCGTCAGGCCTGTATTTCATTTTTTACACTGGCATTCTAACTAAAGAAAAAAAATTACTTTCCTTTTCCTCTTATCATTTTGACCAAACTTATCAATCATATAAAAGAAAAAAATTACTTTTTTACTTTTTTTACATCTTACTTTCTTTACATGCTCTGTATATAGTTTTCCTTATACCTAGTGTTTTAATTATATCTATCTATCTATTATCATTTTAACTTTTAGTAACCCTTTCTGTACAACACTCAGGAGGTGATTTTGAACTGTTTTATACCAGTATTTGTAGATGAAACAATTTTATAATTTTAAGAAAGGTATTTTCTCAACTTTTATTAATAGATCTAAATATATTTAGCTTTTCTAGACTGCATAAATGGCTCAGATATTTTGTGATTATTATTTAATATACATGACTTTAAGGTTAAGTTTCTGAAAAAGACTTTTGAAATGATAAAAGTTTATACTTTTATTCCATTTACATTCATTTATTTATTCTTAACAATTATGCTTTAATAGTTTATTGAACAAAATTTACCATCTAGTTATTTGTTAATCATTTACACAGGCTGTGAAACCCTAAAGTTATAAATACATAGGTATTTTGCTGATCAGAAGACACACCTGTGGGGGTGGGTACAGTGGCTCACACCCATAATCCCAGCACTTTGGGAGCTGAGGTAGGCGGACCACTTGAGGCTAGGAGTTCAAGACCAGCCTGGCCAACATGGTGAAACAGCATCTCTACTAAAAATACAAAAATTAGCCGGGCGTGGTAGTACACACCTGTAATCCCAGCTACTCAGGAGCCTGAAGCATGAGAATTGCTTGAACCCAGGAGAAAGAGGTTGCAGTGAGAAGTGGAAAGAACAAGTCTTAGAGGAGCAAATTTGGAGAGATTTTAACCTTTCTAAAAGTCCAATGGAACATTTTTCTCAGCAAAATCATGCCAACAAGATAAGTAGCAAATGAGGTTGCAGTTGACTGAAAAAGACAATCCCAGAAACAGTATCCAAAAGAGAAAAAAGCAGAAAGGCTTTCTAAAAGAATTATAGTCTAAATATCAGCTTTTAATTGGGCTGACTTCTGACTATAGAAGTCAGAGAAAAAAAAAATTGAAATTCTTATCAGATTTCAGCCAGGACAAACACAAGTTAGGTCTCTCATTCAGTTTTTCTGGCTCTAAAGCCAGCTTTTTTTCCCCAATTCTGCATGCAGATGAATTACTTTAGACATTTCAGAGGCTCACTATTTTGACTTATGCTGCTTATGACTGTCCTAGGTTAGGTGGGTCCACTTTTCTAAATATTTACAACAGGATATGCTATAAGTGTTATACATAAATACAGCTGGTGTTTCTAAAAAGAGTGGTCAGATTTTAAAGCTTGATTTCCCATAATTTAGAAACTTTTCCAAAGTGATCGCGGCTGGGAATGTGTTTAGGGTTGAAGTGCAATGTGTCTCAAACTGTCTCTAACTGCTAGGTGGCAGCAGACTGTTCAAGAGATAGGGGACTAGACCCTCATATACTCATCTGAAACAGCCAAAGGGGGTACACTTTCCAGTTAGAAACTAACATGAATGGGTCAAAATGAAAGGCTAAGTCTGAATTTTCAAGCAATAGAAAACAGTTACAATCTTAAAACCATGCTATGTAAAATGAAACCACCAGTGCCTAACTGCCAATCCTTTAACTCAAACCTCTGCTGTGAGACAGAGGCAGAAAAACCTTACCCCTAACCTCTGAGGCTGAGGCAGAGGCAGAAAAACCTTGGCCTGAACCTCTATGGTGAGAGAGGTAGAAAAAAGGAAGTTCTTTGCAGAGCTCTTCACCCAAATCTCCCATCCAAATACAGAGACCAAAGCCCTCACTCTTAAAAAAAAAAAAAAAAAGAAAGAAAGAAGATTTGAAAACTAGAAAACTAGCCCAAATAAAGTCTAGGCCTTCAACCAAAGAGTGTGAGGTCCAAATTCAGAACTCACCCAAAACACCCAATGAGCCTTCTGAAGACAGGGAGTTTGTGCTTGTACCAAGTGCACTTTTCAAAGAGAGAGAGCAAGTGGTTGGTGGCGTCACTGAGTTCTGCTAAGACAGATGTGTTGACCTAAAAGGGAGAAACTAAGGTAACATTAATGTAAATAGAGAGTTTATTTGGTCCAGGCTTGAGGACTACAACCCAGGATCGTAGATTCAATTGCTCTGAATATATACTTCCATAAGCAGCAGTTACAAGTGAATTTCTGAAGGAAAAGAAGAGGTAGTTCCTAAATTGTTTACCAAGAATTTACATGAAAATAGCATAAGCTATTGATATCAAAGGTCCTCTGTTTTGTCTATTGCTTTGATTAGCAGCAGTTACAAGTGAATTTTTGATGATTGATTGGTTATACATTGTTCTTTTGATTATGAATTCCAGGACATGAAGATAATGGGTGAGGCAGTTAGTCAGAAATTCCTCTAAACAATTGCCCTAGGCATGGGTGTGGAGGTAGGCATGACCGAAGTCCCATACTCAGGGCTCTCTGGGCCTTCATACCTCGCAAAGCTCAGACCACTCTGAGTTATTTTTGTTTTCTCTGCCTCTTCTTTCCTCCCACACACAACTTCCAGGACCTCCCATTGGCTGAAACCACCTCAATGTCAATTGCCATGGGACCTGCACAATGCAGCCTACATTTTACTGTCCATTTTTAAAATCCCCTCTTCTATATTCTGAGAGACTCTCTTCCTGGAAAACAGAGTTTTCTAGCACTAACATTTTAGCTTAAACAATTTCCCCTTGGATGAAAGCAACCCTTGGGGATAAAATGTTTTATTTAAACTCAGGGGGGCTTAGCAAGGAGGATGAAGGTCATGCATAGAATTACTGCTGTGCAGAGGGCTCAACTTGGTGGTTCTAAGTCTGAAGAATTAGGGACTTCAATTCAGACTGCAGCTGTGAGTGACTAAATCTTTCCTACTTGCTTTTTCCTCCTTGCTGTCTGACCACCCATGGCGCAGATACAATGGAAAAACACAACTCACTAGGTTCAAGTTCTGGCTCCAAGTCTATTCTATTATATTTTGGCCATTACTTTTAATGGCAAAAGCCATAATTACTTTTGTACTAACTTAATACTATTCTCCTAGTAATACTAACAGTGAAACAGCCTTTGTAAAATTATGACCGAAGACAGTGAAAGAGATCTAACTTAATCAACTCCATCTTGCTTTTAACCTCCAAGCTGTCCTTGTTTATTCCTGGGCTTAGGCTGAACTAACTTTGGGAGAAACTGAGTTCACAGTTTATAGTTTAAAGAAAGATGGTAAGGCTGTTTCCCAAAGCGATCTCCTTCTTGCCTGGGGACTAGATTGCCTTTGTAGGACTAACAGCCACAAGATTAGAAATTATGGTTTAGGAGTCATGCAGTTGGAGGCTACAAGAGTCTGACCCTCCTTAAACTGCTGTTAAGATCAATGCTTGAGATATTTTGCAGACCCTGCACTAGATGGATCAGCTGGCACCACCCAGATCAATAAACTGGCTCATCTGATCTTGTTGCCCCCACCCGGAACTGACTTAGCACAAGACGAATGCTGCCACTCCCTATGACTTCATCCCTGACCAATCAGCACTCCTGGCTCACTAGCTTCCCCCCACCCACCAAGTTATCCTTAAAAACTCTGTTCCCAGGAGGGGCACGATGGCTCACACCTGTAATTCCAGCACTTTGGGAGCCGAGGTGGGCGGCTCACCTGAGGTGGAGAGTTCGAGATCAGCCTGACCAACATGGAGAACCCCATCTCTACTAAAAAACATAAAAAAATTAGCCAGGCATGGTGGTGCATGCCTGTAATCCCAGCTACTTGAGAGACTGAGACGGGAGAATCGCTTGAACCCAGGAGGCAGAGGTTGCAGAGCCAAGATTGCATCTTGGGCAACAAGAGCAAAACTCCGGCTCATAAAAAAAAAAAAAAAAAAAAAAAAACCTCAGGTCCCAGCTGGGCCAGCGCAGTGGCTCACGCCTGTAATCCCAGCACTTTGGGAGGCCAAGGTAGGGGGATCATGAGGTCAGGAGTTCGAGACCAGCCTGACCAACATGGTGAAACCCCATCTCTACTAAAAATACAAAAATTAGCCGGGTGTGGTGGCACGTGCCTGTAATCCCAGCTGCTCAGGAGGCTGAGTCAGGAGAATCGCTTGAACCCAGGAGGCAGAGGTTACAGTGAACTGAGATGGCGCCAGGGCACTCCAGCCTGAGCAACAGAGCGAGACTCCATCTACAAAAAAAAAACAAAAAACAAAAAAAAAAAAAAAACACTGTTCCCTGAATGCTCAGGGAGACTGATTTGAGTAATAATAAAACTCCGGTCTCCTGCACAGCTGGCTCTGTGTGATTACCTTTTCTCTATTGCAATACTCCTGTCTTGATGAATCGGCTCTTTCTAGGCAGCAGGCAAGGTAAACACCGTGGATAGTTACAAATCTGGGGGCTCGTGTGGGATTGTCCTTGTGGCTACCTGCCCATGGCTAGTGGCCCTCCTCCAATGACAGATCCAGAAGCCAGGTGGATCCATCCGGCTCGGGCTGGCTCTGGTACCCTCTCAACTGGCAGGGTGCTGCTGACCCAATGTGCGTGGATTTAATTGCAATGGAGAAATAGTTATGGGGAGACGTCCCTTAACTATAGTCCTATCATAGGATGACCGTCTGTAGCCCCACTGCAGGGTGTCTGGATTGGTGAGCATCCTAGATGCTGCCAATGCCTCCTTCCTTCTCCAGACTGGTTCTGTAGCCCTATGGTGTGGTGTCTGCAGCCCTATTGCGGAGTGTCTGTTTGTAGCTCCACCATGGGGTGTCTGCATCTGTAGCCCCATTGCAGGGTGTCTGTTCACCTCCTGCGGGGGTCTTGGTTGGCTCCTTCTAACTAGTAGGAAGAGTGTTAGTGTGTGAAACTTCTCCTCAATCAGGAAGATTTCAAGGAAGTTTCTCAGTCGGAAAGCAAGAGGATAGTATGTAAGAGATACTCCTGGAGTTCTTGGTTAGGGATCTGATTTGGAAGGCCTTCTGTCCATCTCATCTTTGTGTGTGTTTGTATACGTGGAAGGGATCTCAGAAGGGGTTGCTGATGGAAGTCCAGCAGGCCTAACTCAGAGAACCCTCCTCATTTGTCTGGTCACATTCGATGAGCCCTAAAGAAGGCTCAACAGGCCTGTCTCTTGGGGTGACTATCTGGTCTTCCCTTTGCCCTGAGACCTCCGAATTACCATTTGGAGGTTGTCCCTTCCATCTGGAGTGGATCAAAAGACAACAGGGACCAAGAAGAAAAAGTTTGAGCTTTGCCAGGTTAATATTGGGTGCTGAACGAATTAACTAATGTCTGTTTTGTTATGTGTATTTTGCTGAAATGGAAAGTGTTAATTCGGTTCCCCATGCAACCCGTTGGGCAGCATCTCGCAAATTGAGAATCTTTTCTATTATTCCATAAAACAGTAAAGGGTAATTTTCTCTTTTACAGTGGCTGGAACCCCACAGCTATAGCACAAGTGAGCAGGGTCATCAAGAAGCCACTTTGTTCTTCTGGAAGCTGCAGAGAAGGGAACCCAGACACCTGCTATGCCAGCAAAAAGGTAAGGAATTCTTACCGGCCAAGTTTTGATCCCTCTCAAAATATAAGGCTCTGTTCTGTTTTGCGTTATCTGATGGTTTTGAGTTTTAGGGGTATCAGAAATTACTTCTCATTATAAGAGAGCTTTGGTAATAACTAGGTAGGAAATATACTTTAGGGGATGCCTAATAGTAGTTATGGAGGAATACTTGACTCTGCACACTTGGATTAGACAGGCATGCTCTTGTGGCCATCTGGAAGATATGGAAACATCCCCACCCCTCACTGAAAAATAAGACTCCCCTGGGGGACGGTCTAATTACAATATGGGCTGATTGGCTTTGGGTTGCCTTGCAATGAAATGCACATTCGGTAAAAGCATGGCACTGTCTTCTCCTGAAGTATTTCCCTCCTTTTGGGGATCCAGGATCCAGTATAAAATGACACCCTTAATTTTGGGGATCTGTCTTTGCCTTCAAGTGTGATTAGGCCCTAGAAACACACGCTTTTCTGGCCCTGTTCTTCCAAGGGCTCCACCCTGAAGCCAGTAATCCAATTAAGAAATCTGCCAAATGAAAAATCTTACAAGTGCTGAATCTTCTGTCTGTGTATTTACATGTGTTGTATGTTTATATATAAAAGAGCTCTGATTAATTCACTTAGAAAAATAAGCACTTAAATATTTTGTCAGAAAAATCAAAAGTTTAATGCCTTTTTGTTCATGTGACTAATAATCTTTCAAAAATAAAGACAGTTTTAAAAATTATTGGTAAAATGTTGTGAAAATGTAAACAATTTGGTGTAAGGTCAGATATCAGATTTGTTAAATACTTTAAGGTCAAACTGTTTCCTTGACTTTTGAAAATTGTTCAATTTACCTACTTTAGAGCATTAGATTATGGAAGAGGCCTGAGAACATGTGAAGAGCCATGCCCCTAGCTATGCTGAAAAGAGACCTTTTCTTCATTTCTGTCTAATGTTCGAGGCTCCACCCCAGTACATAATTAAAACTGCTTATTTACCAGGTTTTTCACTAAAAATAAAAATTGCTAAGAGTTAACATTATAACAGGAAATTAAGATTACTGGAGAAACAGTTTTACATACAAGGTGCATAGGTAATGTGTTTTTGGTAAAAGATTATAAGAAGTCATGGGATTATGGCTTTTGTTAAAGGGAATGTAATTTTGTCTAGTTCAGAAGGTTTTAAAGATTGTCCTAACCTAGAAGAGTAATGGAACAAAACTAAAGGTTTAAGCAAAGTAAAAAGGGTTTATAAAGGGTTGATCTTATAACAAAAAAATCTGTGGGTATAAACAAGTTGGCTAAGACTGGAAAAGAAATTATTTATGTTTTTTCCATAGGTTAAAACATTAAAGTCATACTGATGTGGGGCCAAAATCTGGGCCCAGGTTTTCGAAAAACAGGGTTTTCTTAGAAAATTGATCTGCTGTTTAATGGAAAATTATAAAAGGTTCTAAAAAGTTTATGAAAATCTTAACTTATGGTCCAACTAATTAAAGGTGGATAGAGATATAAAATTTTATTTAAAAAACTAGTTTTAACATTAAAGATACACTAATGCAAACATGAAATTTGGTTCTCTCTTGAAGATTTTTATGTAATTTTAAAAGATAATGACAGGGTCTTGCTTTCTCCTTTGGGTACGTGGCAGGGGATAAAGAGAGGAAAAAGAAAAGACAAATTGAGTTAGCTTCATGCTATCTTTATTGGGTCTTGTTTGGAAAGCTAAGTTTCCTCTATCAGAGTAAAGGTTTTCTTTTTTAAATTTTTAAAGTTATTTTGGCCAAATGAATGACTGCTGGTGACCTGGGATTCTATTTTGTGACATCCAGTGTTTTAAACCTTTGATATTTGACAAACTTTCCAAAATCAAATTATAAATTATGTCTCTTTCTAGCCTAATCTTTTAAGTATTAGGTCCTTTTAAGTCCAAAAATGACATTTGGCTTATTTTGTATAAAAATCATAGAGGAAACATTGTCAAATATGAAATGGTATTTGGCTTTCTTTGGACTGTATTTATATAAATGTATTATAGGTATATGTTCCAAAATTACATAAAACTCCTATAATTCTAATATGACTTAGCATATATCATCAGTAATAATTATAATTATGTTAAATGGCTGTGTGCCACAGAGGTAACAAATTTCCTTGTCAATCATGTCTTTAACTGTGGCTGCCCTAAAATATTTTTGTTATCCACAGGCAACTGTTGTCTCACTTTGGGAGCCCAAGGCGAGCGGATCACGAGGTCAGGAGTTTGAGACCAGCCTGACCAACATGGTGAAACCCCGTCTCTACTAAAAATACAAAAATTAGCTGGGCGTGGTGGTGTGTGCCTATAATCCCAGCTACTCAGGAGGCTGAGTCAGGACAATCACTTGCACCCGGGAGACAAAGGTTTCAGTGAGCTGAGATTGCGCCACTGCACTCCAGTCTGGGTGATAGAGCAAAACTCCATGTCAAAAAAAAAAAAGTTTCATAATCAGTTGTAAAATTTAACAGGTATTCTCAAGGGCAAAATTCTGATTAGTAACTCTAGAGATTGTGACATTAGAATAGAGGAAAAACTTTCAAATATAAAAGTAAATGGTGTTTGGTTTTCATTGGAGTATTTGTATAAATATGTTATTAATGTGTTCAAAAAATTATGGGACACTTCTATAATTCTAATATGATTTAGTATACATTATTGTTAATTATAATTGTTATGTAAAATTGTTGTATGCCACAGAGGTAACCAAAATTCCTGTCAATTGTAGCTTTAATAGTGACAATAGACATCTGTCATCCACAGACGTTTTGTCTTGCTTTGATCCTTTTCAAAAGGCAGTTTATAATCAGATATAGGAGTCTAAGTCCAAGTCTCAGATAACTTTAAAAGTTGTGCTATTGGAATAGAGAAGAAACGAAACTTCCAGGACTCTCATGGAGAGCCGATGTGTTAAACATTGCTAATCCTTTTGTTTTCAGAGTCAAGATAACTTATTTCTTTAGAGCTATTTGCAACTTTTAATGAGTAAACTATGTTGCTGTGAAAAAGATTTTTGGAGCATATTTGTTTCTCTCTACCTAATTTCTCCAGAATTTGGAAACTATTTGTTAGTATTCTCAATTTATAGTGGTATAGTTAATTGCATAAGTGCAATAAGAATCTGTTTTCTTTTGTAACACGACACAATTAGAAAAATTGGTTATTTTACCAAGGCTTTGACTAGAATGGCATGCTTTATTTAAAGAATCGAAGTTGACTTATAGAGCCAATTAAAGCCTCTTAGGAAATCTGGCCTCATACCTTGTCCACACAGAGTCCCTGTACAAGGTTCCTGACCTGTGGTAAGTAAAGCATGTCACTTTCTAACAGGTCCAGGAGCCCCAAGTTATCTTGGGACCTCAAGAGGAGAGAAATTTACCCAACTCATAGGTAATTTAAGGGTACAGACCCATGGCTGGGCTCAGCTTTTAAAAAGTCTTGTCTGAGATTCCCTGCGGAACAGAGTTCCAACAAAGCCAATTAAATATGAAAAATAATTATTCCTGCTTACTTTATACAAACAATCAGGCAAGTACAATAAGACTAAAGTTTATTTTGTAATCAAATCAGTTCTATCATTTTTTTTAAATAGGAACTGGAGAGAAAAAAATATGCTAACCAAAAAAAAAAAAACCATAGTACACTCTTGTTAGCTGTTCGTAAGGTTTTTTTTTTTTCTGTGGTTTAGATTAAATTCTTTCTGGATTTGAAGTCCTCAAACTAATGCTTTCAAATCTTTGCTTTTAAAATTAAGAATTGTACTCCTCATTCTAGGACTTATTTACCTTACAGTATGCTGTTCACGTAAATACTGTACTAAAACTATAGCTGAAAGTACTAACGTGTTTACCACGCAAGCCTTGAAAGCCAAGCCATGTTGGCGTGAGCACACTCAGACAGTTGCAAAGCGGTCCCATTCTTCTCACCTTGGGGTTCACTCCCATTCCCACTATGTCCCGTCAGCAGAAGAAGCCAGAGTAATCAACGGCCTTTTCCCATCTTCATAGCCTACACCTTAAGATTAAGGTGTTATAAAACTCAAAGGGAAGAATTGAAACTTTCTTCACTAAATTATGACTGAGACAGTGAAAAAGATCTAACTTAACTGACTCCATCTTGCTTTTAACCTCCAAGCTGTCCTTGTTCATTCCTGAGCATGGGGTGAACCAACTTTTCAGAGAAACTTAGTTTATAGTTTAAACAAAGACTGTAACAGCCCTTTCCCAAAGCAGACGCCCTTCTTGCCTGGGGACTAGATTGCCTTTGTAGGACTAACATTAGCCACAAGATTAGAAATTATGGTTTAGGAGTCATGCAGCTGGAGGCTACAAGATTTTGACCCTCCCTAAACTGCTCCTAAGATCAATGCTTGAGATATTTTGCAGGCCCTGCACTTGATGGATCAGCTGGCACCACCCAGATGGGTAAACTGACTCACCTGATCTTGTGGCCCCCACACAGGAACTGACTCAGCATAAGACAGCTGCAACTCCCTATGATTTCATCTCTGACCAATCAGCACTCCTGGCTCACTGCTGTCCCCCCACCCACCAAGTTATCCATAAAAACTCTGTTCCCCGAATGCTCGGGGAGACTGATTTGAATGATAACAAAACTCCAGTCTCCTGCACAGCCGGCTCTGCGTGAATTACTCTTTCTGTACTGCAATTCCCCTGTCTTGATGAATCGCCTCTGTCTAGGCATTGGGCAAGATAAACCCCTTGGGCAGTTATTATAACTACCAATTATTGAGAATTTTCTATGTAAATTTCACTCTATGAGAAAGGTCCTACTATTATCTTCAAGTTATGAATGAAGAAACCGAAGCTCTGGGAAATTAAGCTACTTTCCCAGTCCACAGAGCTAGTAAATGGTGGAACCAGGCTGTATTTGAACTCATTTCTCCCAGACTCCAAAGCAAAGCTACTACACGCTGCTGCTTCACATTCACTGTATTGTTTGAAGCAAGTCGCTGAAAATGTCTACTTTTTCATAAAATGAGGCTGATCCACATTGACTTTGTCTACTTTCACAAAGTGGCTGGGATTCTCAAAGTAGATAATATGAGTGAAAATGTTTTGAAAACTCTTCAGGCTCTCTCACTTTATACGGTATTATTTCCACTTCTGCTTCTAGCAGGCGCTGTCTGGTTCCTAAGTCTCTCCATGTGGAGCTGAGCTACTATTTTTGGCCTTCCAAGCTGTTTTCGTTTTTCACCAGAATGCATGCTCCATTTGGGTAATGGTAACAGATGTGACAATGGGAACAAAACTCCTACCAGCCACATTCTAACCCAAACATCCCAGGAGCCACTTCCAGCACTCATCTCTTCACTTCCGCTCCGAGACAGGGAAATGTGAGAATACAGGGCTCTGCTTCACCGTCTTTTACTAGCCTTGATCATTTCTGATAAGTGTTCCTGGTCATCACTTTTCCTTTCTACATCTTTGAGTTCTGGTGTGTTGTCCATATTATATTACTAAAGGTCCACAGGGGAAGAGTGATTTGACGAAGGTTAAGAAATAATTATAAGAAAATGTTTTGACATTACGTTAATGCCTGTCAGGGTATTATCCCCAATTTAAAGTTAATCACCAAAATTACATTGCAATTCCAAAAATGTAATGAAACAAGATTTGCTGAGGTGTGAATAATAAAGAATCAGAGCCGAGAGCTAAAAGAGAAATAAACTTGTTTAACCCTTTTCTAGTCTCCTGCCAAAGAGCAAAGAAATAGATGGCGATTTGGGCCATGTGGATCTTGGCAAAATTAATGGGTTCATAATCTGGAAGAAAACAAGAGGTCTTTGTCAGCACTAAAACACAACCAAGTATTGAGATAAAAAGTTGACATTTAAATCCAGGTCAAAAGCATTCCAAAAATCTGGATATTTGTCATTGTGTGGGCAAGATATTTAGACACTTGATAAATTGCTCAATTTTCCTCTAGAATTTTGGTGTCTTGCAGAGGTCTGGCTTTATGCTTCCAATGGGCTGTCAAGCTTTTCTGCTTGAATACCCAGCCATCACCTCAAAATCAAACCAAGTCTATCATATTTCCTTCAAAACCAATTTCCCTCTTTCTGTCACTGGAAACAGCATTTTCTCAGGCTCTGACACTTGGAATTCTACAGCCATCTTTGACCCTTTAAGTTTCATGCCACCCACACACATCCAGGCCAAAAATTCTTTCAAGCAGTCTTTTAGAAGTAAAGATGCCGACAGGAGTGTCCATTTTGCACGTGCTTTCTCCAAGACAAGCTCTCGCTATTAGGTGTTTTTCACACATTATCTTTTACCCTCAAAACAACTTTGCAGGATAGATCATATTACCCCATTTAAAAGAGGACAAAACTGACATTTGGGGTGCCAACTGGCCCAGTCACTCCTGCAGGAAGTCCTTGTAATTGAAGCAGGGATGCAATTCCAGGTCTGTCTGCTCCAAAGCCACACACAGCATCAGCATGCCCACCTCACAGGTGGTAGTGCAAATCCACTGAGTGACTGGAAGAGGGCCTGGCACACAACAAGTACTTGGTAATTGCTGCCACCTGATCTCTCTTCTAGGCCACACTCCCCCGTGCCTGCCTTGATTCCCCCTGTCACTACCCTTATCCTGCCACACAAATTTATGGCCCAGACGGCGGCCACGCCCAGCTATCTGACAGTTCCAGATTCTCTTTTCTCTATCCTGAACACAGCTGCTGCATTTATCTTCTCAAACATATCTTGGTCGTGTTGAGAAGATTGTGCTGCACTCTAGTTTACAACCCTTTGATGGCTCCTCACTTTCCTTAGGAGACATTTCAAACTGAGCCTGCCTTTCAGAGCCCTTTGGAATTACCATCTTCCATCCTCATCACCATCACCTTATGAGAACTCTTGACTTCCATAAGGTAGGTGTGTTTCCTGGACTCAAGTTGGCCTCTCTGAATGGCATGAAGAGATTCTTCTGCTGTGAATGCCCCTTAACCTCCACTTTAGTCTTCCATTTCACTAAGTCCCTATTCAAATGACCCCTTCTCCAGGAAGTTCTCAAGGACCACCCCAGCCCACTCTATGAGCATTTCCCCTCCCTGACCTCTCATGGTGCTTATCTGCCTTACACATATGGCATTAATCAAACCCTGCCTTAGACTCCAAGCAGCTTTTTCCCTCAACTAAAAGCAATGTAATTCAGTAGGGAAAACACATCCTTCACATGATGATGGGCATGCATTTGAATCTTGAATCTGCCACAAATTACTAGTTTGATTTGTCAAATCACTTACGGGTTTATGCCAACTTTTTAATAGATTCAATGATAGATTTCATTTACTAAACATTGCTTGTGTGACTAAGTGCCTTCAATGCATAATCTATGAAGGAGGTAATCATATCACCCCCTCTTCAATGAGAAAGAAACTGAGGTTCAAGGAAGATAAGAAATTTGGTAATTTTCTTAAGTCAAAGAAACTGGAAAGTGTGAGCTGGGATTACTCTGGGACTTAAAAAGATGCTTTCGTTTATCTAAGAGAGCCTTTCATTTACATCTTGAAACAGTCCTTTTCATCAACATCCCAGGCTTCTGCAACCCAGTGCTATGAAAGCCCAGGAAACCACTGTGCTTCTGCTATCCCATTTCCCAGCCTGCCTTCCTTTACTTTCCCAGCAGGGGGAGCAGAGGATGGAAGGAAGCGATTCCAGGGAAAAGAATCAGAAATCTTCAGAGTTGGAAGGACCTGAAAAAATGGGGCCCCACCCCTCCATGTCATAGACGCACCAGAGGCTTGGACAGGAGAAGCAAGCAGGCCAAACACACCCACCTCACCAGAAACAGTGCTTCCTCCCTCCCAGCCTCAACTCCCTAGCATGCTCAATAGGCCAGGCAGCCTCACAGACATGCAATTGAAAACCAGGCACCTTATGCATTAAGAGAGACGTCCTTTCATCCATTTCCAATCTGTTGCCATTTAATTTCATGAGGCAGGATAAATAGGAACACCCACTTGGCCTTTGGGGAGCCCTTTATTACTTCATTTACCTCCACCTGGTCTCTCACCACTCCACATGACTCTGTAATATACAGCTCTAATCATTGGTGTTTTCTCTGCCAGCAAAATCCACCCTGTCACCTCCTGCCCCACCTCACCTCCAATGTCTCTAATCAACTCCACTGCCCTTCACTGGCCTTTCACCCTTTCATTTATATCCTCGTTGAGATAAGACAGCTGGCCCTGACTGCTGTATTCAAAGTGAGGATGTACCACTGATTTATAGGATGGCATGATAATATTTCCGCATCTCATTCTCCATCCCCTTCACACAGTCATGGGTCTTATCTGAACGCCACTAGGCATGCAGCAGATGTCTTCATTGAGCTGCCCATAATGACACTAGCTGTAGATCTCTTTTTGCCTCTTTCTCTCTTTTTAACACAGACATTGCAGTTAATTCGGAGACCACTCATGTGTGCATAGAGTTTAAATCGCTGCCTTCCAATGAGCATTGCCTAGCCCTGGTGTGCAGTGTAGATAACTGCCTATTGGAGAAATTCCTTAAAGAAGCTCTGGTCCCCACAGCACTTGAACTTCAGTTTAAGGGTAAATGTTTAATATGAGAGGCCACAGTGCCACCTAAGATGATCCTGGGTGTTTAGGGCAGTAAGTCAGCTTTCCAAGATGAGCATGCATTGATTTGCTGAGCAATCGAGATTAGGGCATGGGAAAACTCACTTTTCTCTTTCAAGGGTATAACTGATGCCACCAAGACAGGTCAAGTTGGTGGTGGCATTTGGTCTTCTCTGAATATTTGTAACAGTCCTAATGCTATTGCTAAAACACCAGAGAATACAGCCAAAGCACTCAAGTGCATCACTGGAATGGTAATTTGCCTGTGCTCCCTGTGTCCCTCAGAGTCTGTACCAGTCAGGGCTCCCCAGCGAATCAGAGGCCAGTAAAAGGTCGACGGATGGAGAGATAATTTCAAGGAATTGACTTACATAATTGTGGGGACTAGTAAGCCCCAAATCTGTATGACAGGCTGGCAGGCTAGAAAATTTCAGGCAGCATCTGACGCAGCGTCATGAGGCAAAATTTCTCATTCATTCATCAGGGAAAACTATTTTGCTCCTAAGGCCTTTCAACTGATTGGATGAGGGTGTGCACATTATTGAGGATAATCTTCTTTACATAAAGTCAACTGAGTGTAGATGTTTACCACATCAACAAAATATCTTCACAGCAACACCTAGATTAGGTGAAGATGAAATAACTGTTACTATAGCCTAGCCAAGTTGACACATAAAACTAATCATCACAGAGTCAAAGGCAATAAGCTATAGCATGAGATCTCCTTTTAAATCTCCACCAGCCCAAGAAAAATCCCTTGCAGCACAGCAAATGCCAGTCCCAGCCCTGAGATTTCAAATACATATGGGCCAGCCCTGAGTCCTACTTCAGCCTGCCTATAACAGCCAGTCACAGTGCTGTTAGATCTTGGAGATCACTCCAAGACCACCCCAGATGTGCTCCTTACTCTCTGCAGTTGGAGACTCAGATTCACTAAATGTGGTCACAACTTTAGATTTTTATATTCTGGTGACATATTCAGGCTCTTCTCCCTAGATCTGGGGACTTGTTTTCCCACATGACTCTCAGTTTCACATGTGCCCCTATTGGAGGGTTCTCCACTTTATTTCACAGTCTCCTTCTATTAGCCCCAACCATGTAGACTAGCCCTACTGATTTGTCATAGCTGCTCTAGCAGAATAGGCAAATACAGAAAAAGAAAAGCAATTTATGAATGTACAAGGAAGGCTAGGAATTGGGGCAGGGCTCTAGCCACTCAGATGGATGAAGTCTACAGGGAAGGATATGGAAGAAACCATTCAGGTTTATTTCCTTTTTAATTTTTTACTTTTTATTTTTTGAAGATATACTCTCACTCTATCCCCTAGGATGGGGTGCAATGGCGTGATGATGGCTCACTGCAGCCTCGGTCTCCCAGGCTCAAGAGATCCTCCCACCTTAGCCTCTTAAATAGCTAGGACCACAGGTGCCTACCACCACACCCAGCTAATTTTTGTATTTTTTGTAGAAATGGGGTCTCACTATGTTGTCCAGGCTGGTCTCAAACTGCTGGGCTCAAGTGACCCCCCTGCCTCTGTCTCCCAAAGTGCAAGGACTACAGGTGTGAGCCACCATGCCCGGCCAAGAGTTCAGGTTTAAAGATAAAAGAAAGCCAAGTTCAAAATCGTCACAATCTTGACACTTGCAACTACTTGCCATGGCCTTGGACATATTATTTAATCTCTAAGTCTTAGTTTCCCAGAATGTCCAATATGGATATAAACCTACACCATAAATGGAGAAGATAATAGTATATGCCCAGCAAATCCACATTTTTGTCTTTGAAAGCATGCTGTTATATGACATTCCCCAACCCACTTTCAACGCATGGGCCAAATGATGAGCTCTTGCCTGTTAAAAGTGGGTGTTCCAGGTACCTATTGCTGTATAACAAACCACCTCAAAACTTAGCTACTTAAAACAGTAAAAGTCATTTATTCTGCTCATGAATCTGCAATTCAGGCAGGGCTTAAAGGGACAGCTTGTCTCTTTTCCATGTGGCATCTGCTGGGACAGCTTGACTAGGGCTAGACGATCCACTTCGAAGATCGCTCGCTCACATGGCTGGTACGTTGGTGCTGGTTGTCAACTAGGATTCAGCTGGAGCTGTCAGCCAGGCCTCTGTTTTTCTCCACATCAGATTCTCTATAGAGTGATGGGCTTCCTTGTGCCCTGATGGCAGGGTTCCAAGAGAAAGTGCCCTACAAGGCAGGGAAAGGAGACTGACAATCTCTTAAAGTCTAGGAAACTAACATAGTGCTAATTCTGTTGTATTCTGTTGGTCAAAGCAGTCTCAGAACCTGTCTGAACATAAGGTCAGGAGACATAGACCATACTTCTCAATGGGAAGACTGTCAAGAATTTCTGGCCCTAATTAATCCACCACAATGTTTCAGCCAAAATGGAGAAACAGGACCAGATCAATCTCTCATTTAAAAAAACTAAAAACCAGACAAAATATGAGCCAACATCATTCAAGACAGTGAACATTAGTCAACAAAGGCCAGTGTTCCCTAAGATAGGAAGCAAGGGGGTGAGTGCTAAAATTGCCCCAGTTTACTGCCTGGAAGAAGTTTCCAGGCCACAGCACAGGGAGGGAAAACACAGGTTTTTCAGACTTCTTAGTTGAGGAGAAAGAACAAGACAGTCAGGTATCTGCAAAAGCTAAAGTGCCTGGAGATTGCAGGGAAGAACAAAGGAAAAGAGAGCTAAAGAAAGATAAAACTCCAGATACCTGCAGAAAGCCTCCATCAACCATCAACTATTCAGCTAAAAACTGATCAGGGCTTATATGTGAAAAAAAATTGCATAAGCCCAGGGAAAGAACCACCTGAAAGGATCAGCAGGAATACAACTGTATCTCATTGAAGGTAAGGAACAGTACCTGTTTCCAACGGTTAAAGTGAAAAACTTCTTAAGTCAAAGGGCATCCGAATACTAGGAAACACCTCCCTTATTTATTGGGAAAAATTATGCTTTTCCGGCGTTTCTAAATGTTGCTCTGGTTCCACCCAATACAGCTTAAAATAAAGACCTGAAAGGATAGAAGTGTTTCTAAGTAACTTCACCATGTCCTTGGGAAAAAAATAAAAAATACATATAGAAATATAAAAATATCCAGCACTCAACAAGCTAATGACACCCAACAGTGTGTAGCATACATCAGAAATTACCAGCCATGCAAAGAAGCAGGAAAATGCAATCCATAATGAAGAGAAAATTCAAAGGTCAGCCAAGAGAAATGATCTAGAAACGACACCGATCATAGAATTAGATAAGGACATTACAACAGACATACTGACTATATTTCATGTGTTAAGAATCTACAGGACACACTATAATCCCAGCTGAGGCAGGAGAATCACTTAAACCTAAGAGGCGGAGGTTGCAGTGAGCCGAGATTGCACCACTGCACTCCAGCCTGGGCAACAAGAGTGAAACTCCATTTCGAGAAAAAAAAAAAAAAAAAGTATCTACAGGAAGGACATGAAGAGTACAAAATATGAAAATTGAACTTCTAGAGATGAAAATTACAATGTCCGAGATAAAAAATACTCTGGATGGGACTAATGGAAGATTAGATGGGTTCTTGGAAAAAAAATATTTAGTGAAATTGAAGAAACAGCAATCAAAACTATTCAAAATCAAACACAGAGGAAAATAAAAGACTAAAAACTGAAAAAAATAAGAGCATCAGTAAACTGTGGGACAACTTTAAACGGCCAAATTTGGTAAAAATGATAAACACACATATCTAAGAACCTCAATAAATTCCAAGCACAAGAAACATTTAAAAACACATTAAAGCATGTTATAATCAAATAGCCTAAAACCAGTGATAAAAACAACATCTTAAAGCAACCAGAGAACATACACATTATGTACAAAATTACAAAACTAAGAATGACAGCAGATTTCTTTGGAATCAAACAGAAGGCAGTGGTGCAACATCTTTCAGGTCTGAAAGAATTTAGTGATGAAGACTTCTTCCCACTCTGCTTTTTTGTATTAGCTTCCCAGGGCCGTCACTTGACAATTACTACAAACCAGGTGGTAAAATAGGCACTTACTCTCTCACAGCTATGGAGGCTTGACGTTTGAAATCAAGGTGTCAACAGAGTTGGCTCTTCCTGGAGGCTATGAGGGAGAATCTCTCCCTTAGCTTTCAGTGGCTTCCAGCAATCCTGTGTTCTTTGATTGTAGCTGCATCACTCCAATCTCTGCTTCCATCATCACATGGCCTTCTTTCCTACACCTTCTCTGTCTCTCCAAATCTCTCTCCATGTAAAGGTGTCAGTCATTGAATACAGGCACTATCCTAATTTATATGACCTCATCTTCATCTATATCTTTATTATATTTGCAAGAACCCTACTTTCATGTGAGGTAACATTCGCAGGTACACAGGATTAGGACTAAATATATCTTTTGGGGGGGGACATTTAATCTGCTCATGCCTCTGTGGGCTGCACAGGCTTCTGCTTCTCGGGAGGCCTTAGGAAACTTACAATCATGGTGGAAGGCAAAGGGGAAGCAGGCACATATTCACATGGCCAGCAGGAAAGAGAGAGAGCAAAGGGAATGGTGCCACACACTTTTAAACAACCAGATCTCATGAGAACTCTATCACAAGAAAGCACTGGGGGGGGGATGGTACTAAACATTAGAAACCACCCCTATGATCCAATCACCTCTCCCACCAGCCTCATCTCCAACACTGGGGATTACAATTTAAATGAGATTCAGGTGGGGACACAGAACCAAACCATATCACAGTTCATTCCATTACACTCTTCTCTGGTTTTCCAGTGGATGAGGAGGATCCAGTGGAGCATTCTGAGGTCCTAAAGGAGGCCAGAGCCACTTGATGGAAGGAGACTGGATCTCTGAATCACTATGTGGAAGGCCACCCTCAAAACATGTGACTGAACTGTTACACATGTGAGAACATAAAGCATGAATGTGAAAAGCCACAGAGACTATAATTAGTACTCTTAATATTATGTGCCACTGTTATGGGGACTAAGTGAGACCATGCACATAAGGGACCTGATACATGATAGGTGCTAAATAACTGGTAGCATGGGAACAGGAAGCACTAAGTCTACGTTAGTTCTTATGTTGCGTTCTATGTGAGTCTTGGGGAAGAGCCAGGCCCTTCTCAAGACTTGGAAGAGTGTCAGGCTTATACTCTATTATCAAAAGACTTTCATTCCAGTAGGGATAAATTACCGAGTAAACAGAAGAGACAGCTCCTAGGTCCTTGCAAAGTGTAGCATTGCCCTCATCATACCAAAATTCTCTTCCCATTCCAAAATAGTACAGTTGACTTAGTTTACTCAAGCACAGTGGCCCCCACCTTATTCACGGGAGATGCATTCCAAGAATCCCAGTGGATGCCTGAAGCTATCCATAGTATCAAACTCTACATATATGATGTTTTTTCCTATACATATGTACCTATAATAAGGTTTAATTTATAAATAAGGCACAGTAAGAGATTAACTACTAAAATAAAATAGAATTATAACAATATACTGCAATATGTTATGTAGATGTGTTCTCTTTCCTTTCTCTTTCTCTCTCAAGATATCTTACTGTACTGTACTCACCTATTTTCAAATCACCATTGACCATGGGTAACTGAAACTGTGGAAAGCAAAACAAACCGTGGATGAGGGAGGACTACTGTAATCATTAGGCAGAGCGAAAGATGATTTACTCTAAATGTTTGACCCAGTTAACTGACAAATTCCATCACAGCAAACCCTGTTACAAAAAATCTTGGTTTCTGACTGATCCAGGGAAGAAATCTGATCCTCTGCTGTTTCCAAGCAAAATCAGTTTACAAAATTATTTTCTGTTTCCTATACATCTTCTGAAATGACTATAGACCAAATAACCAGTCGATTTGGAGCCATTTTTTCCTCCCATCTAAAACACAGAGATATTTTTCACTCCTATGCAAAAGGGAAAATGTTAAATCACATGCAAATTGCAGATATAAGCATTTAAAGACTGTTTCCCTGTTTTGTTTGTGAATAATCTTTCATTTTATGAAGGAGTCAAAATATTTCAGTAGGTAAAATCAATAGCAGCCCCCAGAGTGGGTAGAAATTCTCCAGGCTTAATATGGTTTCATGCATGGCTATCCAAGCTGAATGTCTTAAGGGAGCAAATAGTGAATTCCCTGCCTTAGAAGAGATGTAAGAATTAGAATCTTTTCTTTTTAAAACCAATCTGTTATATAATGGTTCATTTATTCAACAAATATTTATTAAGCATTTACTGTACACTACATACTACATCAAATGCTTGAAATACACAAAAAATAACATCAAGAACCTACCCCAGAGGGAAGAGCCTGGTGAAATGAGTAATATTTAAGAGTGCCTGCTAAATTTTAAGCAGTGTTCTAAGCACTTTGCAAACATTAACTCATTTATTCTTCATAACAACCTATAAGGTGTTATTAACATGCCTATTTTACAGATAAGAAAAGTGAGGTACAGAGTTTCAAGAGTGTTCCCAGTCCCACAGATAGTTAATTGCAGAGCCAGGTATGACCTTAGGCTGCCTGACTCTAGAGACAATGCTTCTGGTATGCACGGAACAAATATATAAGTACAGTCTCACCAATGTGATCAGAGACAGATTCAAAGAATCTTGGCCACAAGGTCTGTCTCATTTCATTATTGTTTTCCCCAGTTCTTCACAGAGTTCCTGACATGTGGTAATTATTTTAAAAATTATTTAATTAAGCACTAAAAGAGTAATTGAGAAAGTAATCTGATGGAACCCCACAGGCAGATTCCGCCTTTGCTGGGGGAAATCATGAAAGGCTTCACAAAGAAAGTGATTTTGAGCTGGGTGTGGGAAGATGAGTTAGGCCTTTGCTAGGTCATTCCTGGAAGCAAAGGCATTCTAGGAAGCAGAGTAGCCAGTCCAAAAGCACAGAGGCAGGCAAACCATGGCCACTTAGGGGGGTTATAAATAGTTCACAAATAACAGAAGGATAATTGTTGATTTATGTAATCTCAGTCTGACTCCTGAGCAAACAATGCTTCTCAGATGATTCCTGAGGTTCTGAAATAGAGGGTTGCTTGGTGTTTTTCTTCTTCATTCTTGAAGAAAACTCAAGTTTTGTGGATATGGTTTCCTGAAGCTGCTGCTTCTAAGGTAAACCTTTAGATGAATGATTCCCAACATTCCCCTGGAGATCAGCCCAGGGGCTCCAGTCTTCCCTAGAACTGAGAGAATCAACATTTTGGTCCACCAGGAATTCTGAACCAAGGCCCATCCCTTGAAAAGCTCTTTTTTGTTTTGTTTTGTTTTTTTTGAGACACAGTCTCGCTCTGTCACCCAGGCTGGAGTGCAGTGGCACTATCTCGGCTCACTGCAAGCTCCGCCTCCGGGTTGACGCCATTCTCTTGCCTCAGCCACCCTAGTGGCTGGGACTACAGGCACCTGCCACCACGCCCGGCTAATTTTTTGTATTTTTAGTAGAGAAGGCGTTTCACCTTATTAGCCAGGATGTTCTCGATCTCCTGACCTCGTGATCCACCTGTCTCAGCCTCCCAAAGTGCTGGGATTACAGGCGTGAGCCAGCCACTGCACCCGGCCAAAAAGCTCTTTCTTAGGTGGAAAAACTCACCCGAGCTTTGGCAACCATTGCTCTACGTGTGGAATTCCATACATTGCAAAGTTAGGAAAGAAATGAAGGGTAGGCCATTGGTATATACATGCTCTCTGAAGTCTAAGCATGTGTCTGACTTCAAAAGGGCTAAGAGGAGCAGGAAACAGGTGGCAGTGAGAGAAAGCCTTAGCAGCAGGAAGAGGAAGTAGTCAAGAATGAACCACACCCAAACAGAAGGAACTGCACTGTCCCCCAATTTATGCACAGAGTAAAGCTAAGGGAAAATAAGACACCCTTACTGATTCAGAAAATGCCTTTTCACAAATAACTGTTCTCTGAGGTCATTATTTTTCTTCTAGCTTCCTTGGCTGACCATGTTGGTGCTTCCCAGAGAGTCCATGTGTCACCTGATGGATTCTGTGCCCTGCTTAATCAAGCTGTGCTGTGCTCAACCTCCTTCATTGCTCTTGGTGTTCTAACCTGTTAGGATGATATTTGGGTTCCAGAACCTGACTTCTACCTCATGTCTGTCTGTTTGCTTCCTTGCTTTCTCCTTATAGTATCCACCATTACCCAAGCTTCAGGAAAAAAAAAAAAAAGGAAAACAGTAAAAATGTTAAGAACAAAATATCTGAGCATGGAATCCTATGGCCATCAAAAACTGGTGCCCACAAAATGGACCTTAATATGGTGTTTCTAAAATAAATAACCAAGGAGCCAAAAGCATTGCTAGTATTTGATGTTTAAGTTTCTAGAGTGACACTGATAAAGAAGTGTTCATATTCATATTCTCCATGAACATTCCCAGCCAATCATTAAATAAGAAAATATTTATTGAGCACCTACTTACTAGGGTTAAGACATCACGCTAAATACTGTGGTGATCTAATTCATTATGGCATATTACCAATCCCTTCTAAGGACTTACATTCAATCTGGGGGTGACTGATGAAGTGAAAAATGGCAGGGAGGGAGGGATGGAGGGAAGAAGGAAGAAAGGAAAAGAATTAAAAAAGGCATGTAATAGGTGTGTTCCTATTGCCAACTTAGAACTAGCATCAGGGTACTCATTTCTTTCAGGACAATTGTTTGGTACCTCAGCTCCTCAAAAAGTTCTTTCTCTGGATTAAAACAAGGAGAATATTCTTGCAATGTTTCTTTCTGTCCCGTGTGGTGTCTCATTCCCAGATCACTGTGATGTCATCTGTTGTTGATTATCTCTTGGTTCCTGAAGAATCCTTTGTCCTCATGGAAACACCCATACCCAGTTCCCAAAATCTTCCAATAGCTTAAAAATATCTCCCCTCTGCTCCTTCCACAGACTCCACCTGTGCACTGTGGATAGTCTACCATTCTCAGACCTCCCTACCTTGGCAGAATGTGCATAGGGAGGACCTGGAAGGAGCCAGTACTTTCTCATGTCACCATCAGGAAGTGGTCCCTACACCACTTGGGGCCATTTGCTCAGCTGCTGCTCACCTCCAGTGCCCACAGAAGTCTATTCTTGAGCTTCTCACTGCTCTTTTGCTTCTCCCTATATGTCTGTGACCCTATGCCCCAGGTTGCCAGTAAGGGACTATTCACTCTGCTCTGGTCTAGGGGAAGGTGTTTTCTCACAGGCAATTTCTTATCTTTAGCTGACACCCGGTTCTAGAACTCAGTCCCTTATTCCTCCCTCTGCCACAGCCATTCCAGGGTTACTGGCTTCTAGTCTCTGTTCCTCCAGCCAAACCTTTCTGATTCTCACCAGAAGATTTACTTTTTCCTGGATTAAGGAAAGATGTTACAAATGGAAAGAAAACTAGAAGGTACCATATGGTAAGTGACAAGCTAGTTAAAATGGGTTTTAAGGTCCACAGGAGTTGAAATATCCAGGAATCACCATGAATGGGAGGGACCCCGAACTCTGGGGTTCAACCTGGGTCACAAAAGATGAATCACATTGAGATAAATGCATAAAAGCAGGAAAAACACTCTGGAAGGTATAGACACTGCAAGCAAAGGCAGAAAAACAGGGCAGGAGAAAATGCCAGCATGAACCAAGACAGGATTGCTCCAGGTTCTTTCGGGAAAAGTAAAAAAAAAACTTCAGTTGTTGGAAGCACAGTCTTTTCTTCATTCTTCAGGGCTCTTCTCCAGTGTCATTCTCCCTGAAGCTTTTCCTAGAGCTCACAAACACATGGACACTGTCATATGCAACCTCATTTACTCACCTAGTGATGCTTCAATGCATTTCAATTTGTGAGCATTTTTCTCATCTCTCTTACCTCATTACAAGCTTCATCAGGTGGTATATTTTGGACTTTATGGAAACATTAATAACTTGATACCTATAATGTATGTGCCTATCACTTAACACACAACTAGGGTGGCCATATGATTTATCTTCCAAAATAGGACACTTTGAGGAATAAATGGGGATTAAAGAATAATCCAAGATACTAGGCATTAACCAGTGCTATCCCAGGCTAGCAGGATATACGATTACCCTCCTCAAAACAAACGTCTACCTATGCAATCAAAGGCTGATGATCAATTAAAGGATGTCAAAAAGGTCTTAGGTTTAAGTTGGTTGAGGGGACTGCCTGGTAGTGGCACTTGTGCTGCCTCCGTGTTTCTGCCTAAGGTGGCTACACTCTACTGAATGTCTAGCCATTTGCTACTACCAAAAAGAAGACGTGCTCCTTTAATTGCATATGTATTCTATAAACAAGCAATAACTACATCCAGACACTGTGTGAGATGTTGGTAATACCCAAGTAAAAAAGCATAGTCCTCTGTCCTCAGAGCTCACAGTCTGACAAGAGTTCATTCATTCATTCAACAAATATTTATTAAGAGCCTATCATGCATCAAGCCAGGTGGTGGGAAAAACTTCCTTGGTCCTTGCCCTGATGAAGCTCCGAGATTGCAATCCTGGCAGCAGAATGAGAATGGGCCATTAATAAAGGTATTTATGAGATACAATGTTGGCCCAAATGAGGGAGGTAGCAGTTGTGCTTGAATGGGTTAGTGGGACTTAAGAGGAGAAAAAAAATGGAGAAGTTATCACCCAGCAGAAGAGGAAAAGATAGTTCATGCAGAGGAAACAGCACAAGAAAAGACTTAGAGGAAGGAAACAGCAAAGTCAGCAAGGAGAGTGGAGGGTAGGCAGGGGTTAGACCATGGTGGAGCTCAGTGGCCAAGCTGAGGACTTTACATGTGACCCATTAGACAACTGGGTGACATCAAAACTCAACATCAGGGCCATGCCATAATCATATGTGTATTTTAGATAGATTGTTTCGAGGGACTCACTGCAAGTCCTCCAAGAGTTAATCTGCATGAACTCAATGTAGACAGTAGCCCATCACATATGCTACCTGCCCTTTCTTGCCTATCCAAGGTTCCTGGATACAGGAGGGCAGTACAGGCCCCCAGACTGCCCTTGTGCCTGCAGAAACATCAAAGTTTTCCAAAATGCTCTCTTCTAGATGCAGAGTGTGTTTTCACAAACCAGAACCCTAACGTGTAGAATCTATGTAAGATTCCAGGAAAGTCATCCAAATAAGTCTTTCAATAGTGCTGGAGAGAAATCATGAAAACAAAGCCTTGCCAGGCTGTTGTAATACTCCAGATTAGTTGATGGCTGAATTATTATGCAAATTTGAGCCCCCATGACCTAGGAATACATAACCTCTCTAAAATAGCACAATTATAAGACTTGATATTATGCTATGCCCATTTTCCAGTCATCTAGAGTGGTGAGTCTATCTCATCCAGAATGGACATGGATGAGAGTTACTCTCAATGTCAAATGATCTGCTAGCTGCCACTGGTCATGTCTCCCCATCCCGGCATTCTCCTACTGACTCCAGACTGGCCTCATCCTCTCTCTTTTGGGCAGCAGCTTGTGTGCTACATAGTCTGCTTATTCAATACAAACCAATTTTTGATCTTAGGCCTAAAGCTTAGAGTTCTTCAGTATATATAGATTTTGCTTCACTCATAAAGACTATGCAAGGAATGACAACTAGGCAGTTCCCCAGAGTTCCAAAATGACCCAGATGCCTCACACCAACACAGGATAATTCTGGAAAAGTCTCTCAGAGACTGAGAATACAGTTTCCTAATACTTTCACAAAGAAATAAAACGCAACAGGGATTTCAAATAATCTGCTAGAAATTATCTAAGCATCTCTCTGTAGCCCTCTTTCTCCCCATCAGTAGAGACCACAGATCTTGGCCCACTAATGCACACTGGCAGAACGTCAAGTTGTTTTATTTTTCTATAGCTAATGAATCTGCTTCCAGATCCCATTCTGCTCCTTGGAAAAGACTTTGACAATTTAGAGTAAACTGAGTCCATTCAAAGTTTTCTCGGTACAGTCATGGAATAACCTCCTTCTCTCCTTGGGTTTGGGTCTAAGTTGATTATGTCTACGTAGAGCCAGGGACGGCTGCATAATTTGTCAGGCCCCTTGTTCAAAAATCATTAAGAATTTCAGGACAGTAATAGCAGAGCATTAAACCAACCACTAGGACCTCTAAGAATGAACGCTACGTAACTATATAGATCATGAGCTCAGGAAGCAGGTCTTTCATACTATCATGAGATTGGGATCTACTTTATGCTGGCTTCAGCTAAGAAGGCCACAGTCCATCCAGAATTCAGATCAGTGGTCCAAGCTGGTCTCTGAGACAGCATCCTCATTCCAACCTCAAGACCACTCCAGGCATATATCAAGGCTGAGCTGCTTTTAGATGCATGATGACCCATTGACCCTTGGCCCTTGCCATATTGGCACAAGTATTGTAAGGACAACTAGTTTTTTTGTCACATCATCCAATTAGTCATCTCTATTTCTCTTTTGCTCTGTTCAGCATTCCCCTGCTCCCCAAGCCTAAATAAGGTGGAGAGGGACACTCCTTTATTCTTAGATCCCCAAAGCTCTCTGAAGGGTCTGGCAACTCAAACCTTCAGCTATTGGCTATGCTCAGCCCAAAAAGAGCAGGGGACAGGGTCCCTTTATAGAGATCCACATCAGTATTACTGTCTGGCTCTATCTCCCCAATATTTATTTGTCTTTTAAAATTCACCTTTTAAGAGTCAAGACAGGACATGGTAGCAGAGATATCACGCTGTCTTTAGCACATGGGATCTCAGTTTTAAAAGCTCATAATTTACTTTATATTGTTACCTAAGTTCTCCTGTAGTCCCCATTCCCTGGAGTAATGGATTCACTCATTTGTTGATTTGTTCAATCAAAAATAAATCAATTAAACACTCTAGTTGCTAAGCACTGACTTTTAGTATTGGAAATATTATGGGAGACAAGACAGACAATGTTCTCATGAGACTTATTTTCTAGAGAGGGGTCAGCAAATGATGACCTGCAGACCAAGCCTCGCCTACTGCCTGTTTTTGTAAATGCAGCTTTAGTGGAACACAGCCACGCCCATTCATTTCCATATTGTTATGACTGCTACAACAGCAGGGCTGAGTTGTTGCAACAGAGACCATATGGCCAGCAAAGACTAAAATATTTATCTTGTCCTTTCAGAGTAAGTTTGCAAACTATTGTTCTGGTAAATGGGCGAGACAGTGAGTAAACAGGTTTTTAAAATACATAATGTATAAGATCAAGTAGTCACGAACTCTATAAAAAAGAAAACGAGGTTGGAGTATTGAGAATTATGGGGTGGCTGGTATGGGGAAGGCTATTTCAGATAGGCTGGTCAGAAAAGTGTTTTCTGAAGTGTTGGCATCAGAGCTCAGATGGAAAGGTGAGAGAAGGAACCACAGGAGTACCTGAGAGAATAAAGGACGCAAATGCCCTGAAGAACAGAATTAGCTTATCCTACTTGGAAATCCCACTCAGCAAAGCCTAGTTGGAATGGAGTAGGGCCAAGGAGTAGAAGAAAATATATATTGTGTAATATATCAAAATCATATCGCATTATATGTCTTTGCTTTTTCTGGCCTTGATAATGGTAAATTTCAGAGGATGGTGACAGCCAGGAAAACATTCACAACCATTTTTGGACTGCTTCCTTTTCCACAGCTTCCATTTATAGATCATTTCTTGTCTTTTTATCTGTAGATAAACTATAAATGTTGGAAAATATTAGAAAGAAACACTACATGAATAACACTACAGTTCATCTGATGAACTGACCATAAATGAGGGACATAGCACCCCAGTTCCCCTACCCACCATCAACGTGACTTAAAATAGAAGACACTCTTTAGTTTGCTGTAATGGAAAGAGGGTGGGCTTGGGTGTCACACAGATGCTTTCTTGGCTGACAAGCAATTTACCTTCTCTGAGCCACAATTTTCTAATCCAGAAAATGAGGTTAATAATACCAGCCTTGGGGATTTTTATAAAGAATAAATGGCATAGTGCATGAGAAAGTCACTGGCTGGATTCCTGGGTGCTAACTGGATGCGAGTCCCCCAGTCTCACCCTTCCTCCCTGCCTTGTTTGCCAGTAGCACAGCACAGCTTGTATGATTCATGACCTAACTCTCGCTCCTTCTGATCCTTGATCAGTCTGTCTAGTGTCTCCAGAGGCAGCGTCACCTGCCCTCGCTGTATGGGCAGTGTTGACATGAGAGATGAGCAGTGCCCGCTCGTACCTCGTTGATGCCTCGGAGTGGGCAATGGATTAGCCTTTGAGTACAGACATTTTACTTCTCCCTCCAGAGGCTTCTCTGCTTGAGCCTGCCCAGCCTGCTTTTAGACTGTGCTAAAATCACTGGCCAATTTGATTAAGTTGGAAAAGAAAGAAACAGCCTTTTGACTGAAATTGATGAATGATTTCAGATTATCTAGGCCTGAGGGGATCTGAGTCTAGCAGCATCAGCATCACCCAGGAGCTTATTAGAAGTACAGATTCTCAGGTCACATCCCAGGCCCACAGACTCAGAATTTCCATTTTAACAAAAGCCTTCTGTGATCTACATGCACATTAAAGTTTGAGGACCACTGGGATAGACTAGGGGTTCTTAATCTAGCTTTTACACAGGTGACTTGATCCCATCCTGAAGTGTTTCCCTTAGTCTGCTAATTTTTGAATGTGTCATGGATGATTCTCATGTGCAGCCAGGGTTGAGAACCACTAGTTTGTGTCAACTTCTCATAAGGCTCAGCAGAATTATAGGTCGGGCTCAAAATTGCACAGTGGATGTCTAACAGAATTGGGATTAGAACTATAACCTCCAAATGCCCAGTGTTACATTAATTACTTTGTGTCCCATTGCCCCTCCCTGTGCAGATGGGTAAGGATGTATGTTCACTTTTATAATGTCTGTAAATTGATCATGGCAAACAGTTTCAGAATTCACACTTCTAAGTCATCAAATCTATGCAAATCAAACTCTCAAAAAGGCTGTACTGCAAAATTTTCACTCAAGTTTATAAATGAGAACAGGAGATTTTCTGAAATATCTCCACCACGTATCTCTCTGAATGAAGTTTGATAGCCAGTTCTTTTTCCTAGAATACTGTGTATTTAACTAACTCCTTTCTTCTAATAACCACCTTCTTCTGCTTGTTTAACTTTTAAACTTAGTACATCTTCTAAGCCCCACACCAAAACTATACTTCTTTTTTTTTTTTTTTTTTTTTTTTGAGACAGAGTCTCGCTCTGTCACCCAGGCTGGAGTGCAGTGGCACGATCTCTGCTCACTGCAACCTCCGCCTCCCAGGTTCACACCATTCTCCTGCCTCAGCCTCTCAAACAGCTGGGACTACAGGCGCTGGCCACCATGCCTGGCTAATTTTTTATATTTTTAGTAGAGACTGGGTTTCACCATGTTAGCCAGGATGGTCTCGATCTCCTGACCTCGTGATCCACACACCTCGGCCTCCCAAAGTGCCGGGATTACAGGTGTGAGCCACCATGCCCAGCCAATTATACTTTCTTTTTAACCATCTCTATGATTTCCCTAAAAATGGACTTCCTTCCTATCAACATCCCTGTTTGATCATGTGGATCTCGTGAAGGAGAGCGGCAGAGATAGTGCTTAGCAAATAGTCCAGGTTTCCATCTCCACATTCTGCAACCACTTGCAGATAGACTGAAGCCATGTGACTAGTTCATGCAAACGGACCCTGAGCAGAAGTTTTCTGTATCACTGCTCGGCTGAGACATTTAAGAGACAGCCTGCTAGCTCCATCTCTATCTTCTGGGGGGAAAACTTGGAAGCTATGTGTTTATATGGTACTGTCACAAAGTTAAGAGAACCTGGATTCCTGTGCCACCAGATGGAAGAGAGTCTCCACCCACCCACATTGGATACAATGGGAGTGAGAAATAAATGTGTTGTGCTACACTACTAGACTAGAGGGGTTGTAGGTAGCAGCAGCTGGCATTGCATAAGAAGTACATGACACTAGTGTTTCTCAAACTTTAAAGTGCATGTGAATCATCTAAGGATCTTGTTAAAATATTAAATTTCAGCAGGTCTGGGAGGGATCTGAGACTCTGCATTTCTTATAAGCTCCCACTACTATCAATGCTACTGGTCCTTGGACAACAAATTGGCTAGGAGGATACTAAAGCATTCTTCATTGCTCTATAATAGTTGTACACATATTTTCTCTAACTAGACCATCAGGTCTTTTTGGCACATTTCAGTATTCCTGCCACAAACACATTGAAAAAAGTTGAAGAAGATCAAAAATTGCACATTAAGGCCCTCTGAAAATTCCCTCCTTCATAAAAGCAATGAGAAAACTGGCAAAAACTTGAAAAACAATTAACTTTTTCAGAAGGCTGGAAGTTAGCTAAAAGTTTGCAGAAATCCGGGGATCACTTATGCAAGAAAACTGGCAGAATCTCAGTAAGAACAGTAAGCTCTGTGGCATTTTAACTTGTCCTAGTTCCTCTGCCCATTCTCCAGCTCTATATTCATCTTGAAAAATAACTGATCAGATAGATTCACAATGAAAACCACTATTCTGGCATCCAGTGAGGGGAGCAAAAGAGGATGTGGCTCTTTCAAAGCCTTATTCTCAGAAAATTGTCAAATAAAAAACTGCACCAAAATGAAAGATAAAATAAGACATTTCTGGATAAACAAAAACTGATCATTTCTTGCTAGCAGACCTGACTTAACAAGAAATACTAAAGGGTTGCAAATATTATTGCAAATATATATTATTGCAAAAAGCAATAATATATATTGGGCACAAGATAAACACAAAAGTCCACTGTATTTTTATATACTAGCAATGAACAATCTGAAACTAAAAAAAATAATTCAAATAATTCAAATTTGCAATATTATCAAATAACAGGAATAATTCAATAAAAGAAGTGCAATACATGTACACTGTAATCTAGAAAAACATTGTTAAAAAAATTAATGAAGATCTACATAAATGAGAATACATCTCATGTTCATGGATTGGAAGTCTTAATATTGTTAAGATGACAATTAAGCCCAAATAGATTTAGAGATGAATGCAATCTCTATCAAAATCTCCCACTGGCTTTAATAGAAATTGCTAAGCTGATTCTAAAAATACTACAGGCATTCAAGGGTTTCAGAATAACCAAAAGAATCTTGGAAAGAGCAAAGTTGGACGACACATTCCATATATATATTTATATATATGTATTTTATATTTATATATTTTATATTTATATATATTTATATATATTTTATATTTATATATATTATATTTATATATATTTTATATTTATATATATATATATATATATTTTTTTTGGGGGGATTAGCTTTTGCTCTGTCACCCAGGCTGGAGTCCAGTGGTGCAATCATGGCTCACTGCCACCTCGAAGTCCTGGGTTCAAATGATCCTCTTGTCTCAGCCTACTGAGTAGCTGGGACTACAAGCATGCACCACCAAACCCTGCTAATTTAAAAAAAAAAAAAAAGTAGACATGGGGTCTTGCTATGTTGCCCAGACTGGTCTTGAACTCCTGGCTTCAAGCAATCCTCCCACCTTGGCCTACTAAGGTGATGGATTATGTACATGAGCCAACATGCTTGACCAGAATAGCCTTTTTAATAAATGGTGTTGAGACAATAGGACATCCACATGCAAAATATGAACTTGGACCAACTGCAACCTTACTGTATATATAAAAATTAACTAAAAATGAATAAAAGGCTTAAAAGTAAGAACTACAACTATAAAACTCTTAGAAGAAAACAAAACCATACATCTTTATGATGTTGGGTTAGAAAATGGCTTCTTGCATCTGACACCAAAAGCAACATGCACCAAAAGAAAAAATAGAGAAACTGAACTTCATCAAAATTAAACTTTTGTGCACCAAATAAAAAATTAAGTGAAAAAGAAACTCAAAGAATATGAGAAATATTTTAAAATCATTTATCTGATAGTATCTACAACATACAAATAACTTAAAATTCAACAATAAAGAGACAAATAGCCAAGTTTTTTAAAAATGGGCAAAGGACATGAAAAAATATTTCTCTAGAAGAAGATATACAAAGATAAGCATGGCCAATTACTATCACCATCATTAGTTATTAAGGAAATGCAAATCAAAATCACAATGAGAACCTACTTCACATTCACAAGGATGGCTATAATAAAAAAGACAATAACAAGTCTTGGTGAAGATGTTGGGAAGTTGGAACCCTCATACGTTGCTGGTGGAAATACAAAGGATGTATCCACTCTGGAAGCAGTGTGGCAGTTTCTCAAAAAGTGAAACATACAGTTACCATATTGCTCAACAATTCTACTCCTAGATACATACCAACGAAAATTTAAAATATAGTTCCACAAAGAAACTTGTACAAAAATATTCATAGTAGCATTATTATTATAAAAGTGGAAACAGCCCAATGTCCATCAGCTGACAAATGGCTAAATGAAATGTGGTACATCTACATAATAAATTGTTATTCAATTATGCTATAATATGTATGAAGCTTGAAAATATGGTGCTAAGTGAAAGAAGCCCAATGCAAAAGGTCAGATAGTGTATAATTTATATTAAATGTCTAGTATAGACAAATCTATAGAAGTAGAAAGATTAGTGGTTACCAAGGACTAACGGAGAGGAGAATTGGCTGCTGGTGAGTCCTCATGATAGAGAGTTTGTTTTTGAGGTGATGAAATTATTCTGGAATTAGAGTGGTGGTGATTGTACAATCTTATGAATTTACTGAAAATCACTGGATTGTACACTATGAAAGGGAGAGATTTATGGTATACAAATATTTTCATAAAATTACCAAAGGAACCAGATACAACTTTTTATGTTAACAGGTGTAACTGAATGAAATAAAAACAAAATGCAAACAAAATGAAAGCTGAATAGGAAGCAGGAGGAAAGGAGAATGTGTTGTATTTGATTAACAGCATTACTCTCCTAGAATTCCCCAAATAAGCTTTGTTTTTCAGATTTTTCATATGCTGTTTCTTCCCTGAAGGACTTTTTTTTTTTCACTCTGGTCTGCCCTGGAAAACAATTTCTTAACCTCAAAATTCGGCTCCAATATGAATCGTTCCAGCCTCTCCCATGCATTTAGTCCCATTTTCCCACATTGTCATAGAACTTTATACAAGCTTTCATGGTAGTGAATATGCATTTTCATTTCTTATTGAGGCCTAATTTATATATAGCAGAGTGCACAAATCCTAAGTGTAATGATCCATGTATATCTGACTCTGTATACGATGATATATCTACCCCCAGATCAAGATATAGCTTTTGAAACTCCAGGAAGTCTGCCTTGTGCCTCTCCCAGTTAGATAATCAAAGAGAATCACTCTTCTGACTTCTATCCAAATAGATCAGTTTTGCCTGTTTTTGAACTTCATATCCATGAACTCATGCAATATGTGTTCTTTAAAGTTTAAATTCTTCATTTAACACTCTGAAATTCATGAATGTATGCACGTAGCATTTATTTTTCATTGCTATATAATATTTCACTGTATTAACACATCACAATTTATCTATCCTTTCAAAGGTTGATAGATGATTAACTTTATTTCCATTCTGAGGCTATTATGAATTAAGTTTCTAGGAAACTTCCTATGTATGCCTTTTAGAAGACATAAGCACTCATTTCTGTTGGGTATAAACTCAGGAGTAGAAATGCTGGATCATAATACATCAATATGTTTTGCTTTACTAAGTACGGAGAAACAGTTTTCCAAATTGGCTGTCCCGTTCTGCAACCCCAGAACAATGCATGAGAGCATGGAACTGTGTTTTAATCGCCTGTCACCCCACTCCACTGTTGGCACTTTGAGGGCATATACTCTTTCACTCTGTGTCCCAAATACACGGTTGGACGTGGAGAAGATAGGAAATGATGCCACCAATACCCTATCCCAGGGACCAGGAAACCTTTTCTGTAAAGGGCCAGACAGCAAATATTTTAAGCTGTGCAAAGCATACTGTCTGTGTTGCAACTACCTACCTCACCACTGTAGCTACAGTAGCTATACATGATTTATAAACAAATGAACATGGATGTGTGCCAATAAGACTTTATTCATAAAAACAAGTGACAAGTTGGAGTTGGCCTGTGGTTCATAGTTTACCAAGCCCCACAATCCTCAATCCCACCCCCATCATTCTCTGACCTCAACTCCCACCACAATTCCCCCTGCTCTCTTCCACAGAGCCACACTGGTCTCCAGCACACTCCCACCCCAGGGTCTCTTCATTTCCAGACCCTCTGTCTGGAATGTTCTTTCATCAGATTTGCCTGGGTGGTCACCACCTCATCTCTTCAGCTCTTTAGTCAAATGTGACATTTTTGGTAATATTTCCTCATATTTCTTTACTATTTTTTTTTGTTTTGTTTGCTTGCTTTGGAGACAGTTTTGCTGTTGTCACCCAGGCTATAGTGCAATGGTGCAATATCAGCTCACTGTAACCTCTGCCTCTTGGATTCAGGAGATTCTCCTGCCTCAGCCTCCTGAGTAGCTGGGATTACAAGAATCTGCCACCACGCCCAGCTAATTTTTGTAATTTTAGTAGAGACGGGGTTTTGCCATGTTGGTCAGACTGGTCTCGAAGTCATAACCTCAGGAGATCCACCCACTTTGGCCTCCCAAAGTGCTGGGATTACAGGCATGAGCTACTGCGTCCAGAATTTCTTTCCTATTTTTCTCCATAGCGTTTATTACCATCTAACGCATCATGTTTTTTAATATTTTGTGTCTTATCTATATCATCACCCCCCAACACAAACAGATGAAGAGTGGTTTTTGACTTCTTTTTTTCATTCAGTGATGTATTCCCAGCACCTCAGTGTCTAGCTCATAGTAGATGCCTGGTATGTATTTGTTGAATGTGTGAAGGCGCAGAGAGCTCCCGGCCCCAGGGTCCAACTACAGGAAGCCCATGGCTACAGTGCTCGCTCTGACAGCTATGACTAGAGTAGATTCCACTTCCCACTATAGACATGTGGTCATGAAACCCAGGCACCCTAGTAGTAGGAGCACAGGGGCTGAGAAATAGTCCTCGCCAGACAGCCCAGGCTGAACAGAGGGGCATGACAAGATGCAAGTCGGCCACAGCAATTTAATGCAGATTTCTGTGGGTTATTATGCAAAAATATCCTACTTATATCTAAATGGAATACCCATGTGACTTGCCAGGCAAGGCCTAAATAATTATGTCTTTATGCTATAATTACACATTCCCACCAAATTACAGAAATTAGGAATGGAAAACAATAATGCTGCAATGAAACCTTGTTTCCAATCCGAGGTCGTCTCTCCACACAGGTCAGAGTGTTTCACAACAGTCTTCTCCCAGAGGGAAGAAGTTCAGCTCCCAGTTAGCAGAAAGGAAAACTGAGCTACAGGGTTAACATAGCTCCTTTCAGACTACATTATGTTATTGATTGAGCAAAGTCAGGAAGAAAACCCCAGGCAATTATTCCATCCACTTCACCACTCTTCCTGGGGAAATCCAGTTGTCCTAACCTTCAAAGCCTTCTGCGAAGAAAAGTTTCAGGCTCTGAACACCACCCTATGATGTCCATTTAATTACTCCTTCATAGAATAAGTAACCCATTGATAAAGCTCATACCTTAACTAATGTGATTCTTTCATTAACCTTGATATTGTAAGTGTGGAAATTGCATTTCCACACTTATATATTATATATGGAAATTGCATTTATTCGTGTTGTGTCTATCTATAAATCTCCAAACATACCCCATGGAAAGAAGTTTGGCCTATGCCAGAGGCTCCCCCACTCCAGAGATAACTTTGCGCACACAACCCCTCACAATGCTGTCTACCTGCTTCAGACAGGCTGGAGATGCTTTTCTGAAACAAGAGATGAAAATAACAATTATTGAGCAGGTATATGTTCCAGGCTCTATGTTAAATGCTTCTAAGTACATCTGTTGTTTAACATTGCTCAGATAGTATTGTTATCCTTGTCTGTGGGAAGTAGAGAAGTTGAGATTTAGAAAGGTTAAAAAAATTGTCCAATGTCACACACTTGGATAGTAGCAGAGTGATGATTCACATGGAGGTATCTTTCATTCTAGAACACTACAGTCAACTTGAATTCTTGGTTAAGAGCAGAAATGATTCCCAAGTAAACCACCGTCTTAGGAAAAGCTAGCTGTAACTCTGAAAACCATATAAATACCAGAATAATTTTTGAATAATGATATTAATCATCATCATAATCCTTACATATTCATTTTTAAACAGTTTCAGTGAGATATAACTCACATATTATAGTTCTACTTAAAGTGTACAAGTCAATGGTTTTTAATATAATCAGAGTTGTGCAACCACGATGACAATTTGAGCTTAGAGTATGTTCAGCACCCAAAAGAAATCCCATTAGCAGTCATTCTTACTTCCAAAACAACCACTCCAGCCCCAAGGCAACCACTAATCTATCTGTTCTAGATTTTCCTATTCTGACCATTTCCTGTAAATGGAATTATACAATATGTGGTCTTTTGTGACTGGCTTCTTTGACTTAGCATGATGTTTTCCAGGTTTATTCACAGTGTAGCATGTATCAGAACTGAATTACTTTTTATTGCCAAATAATAGTTCATTGTACGGCTGTACCACATGTCGTTTATCCATTTTTTAGTAAACGGACATTTGGGTATTAGGGCATAATGAATAATGCTGCTAGGAACATTCATACATACTTATGTGTATGTATAGAACTGTGTTTTCATTTCTCTATCTTGAATTACTCGAGTTGAACTACCGGGTCATATCTAGATCTATGTTTCACTTTTCAAAAAACTGCCAAACTGTTTTCCAAACAGACTGCACCACATTCCCACCAGCAATGTATGAGAGTTTCAGTTTCTCCACATCTTCACCAACACTTGTTGTGGTCTATTTTATTATAGCCATCCTAATGAATGTAAAGTAGGATCTGATTGTGGTTTTGATTTGCATTTTACTAGTGACTTATGATACTAAGCATCTTTTAATGTTCTTACTGGCCAATTGTGTGTCTTCTTTTGAGAAATGTCTATTTAAACCATTTTCCCATTTTTAATGGATTATCTTTTTATTATTGAGTTGTATCATTATATGTATTTTCTGGATATGTCTGTTTTCAGATAGGTGGTTTGCAAGTACTTTATCCAATTCTTTGGACTTTTAATAGTCCAAAGTTTTAAAATTTTAATGAAGTCCAATTTATCCACTTTTTCTTTCATTGCTTGTACTTTTGCTGTCATAACTAAGAAACCACTTGCTAACCCAAAGTCATTAAGATTTACTGTTTTCCTCTCAATAAACTAGGTATTGATGGAACATAGCTCAATAATAAGAGCTATTTATGACAAACCCACAGCCAATATCATACTGAATAGGCAAAAACTGGAAGCATTCCCTTTGAAAACTGGCACACAACAGGGATGCCCTCTCTCACCACTCCTATTCAACATAGTGTTGGAAGTTCTGGCCAGGGCAATCAGGCAAGAGAAAGAAATAAAGGGTATTCAATTAGGAAAAGAGGAAGTCAAATTGTCCCTGTTTGCAGATGATATGACTGTATATTTAGAAAACTCCATCGTCTCAGCCCAAAATCTCCTTAAGCTGATAAGCAACTTCAGCAAAGTCTCAGGATACAGAATCAATATACAAAAATCACAAGCATTCCTATACACCATTAACAGACAAACAGAGAGCCAAATCATGAGTGAACTCCCATTCACAATAGCTACAAAGAGAATAAAATACCTAGGAATCCAATGTACAAGGGATGTGAAGGACCTCTTCAAGGAGAACTACAAACCACTGCTCAATGAGATAAAAGAGGACACACACAAATGGAAGAACATTCCATGCTCATGGGTAGGAAGAATCAATATTGTGAAAATGGCCATACTGCCCAAGGTAATTTATAGATTCAATGCCATCCCCATATCAAGCTACCAATGACTTTCTTCACAGCATTGAAAAAAACTACTTTAAAGTTCATATGGAACTAAAAAAGAGCCCGCACTGCCAAGACAATCCTAAGCAAAAAGAACAAAGCTGGAGGCATCATGCTACCTGACTTCAAACTATACTACAAGGCTACAGTAACCAAAACAGCATGGTACTAGTACAAAAACAGACACATAGACCAATGGAACAGAACAGAGGCCTCAGAAATAATATCACACATCTACAACCATCTAATCTTTGACAAACCTGACAAAAACAAGAAATGGGGAAAGGATTCCCTATTTAATAAATGGTGCTGGGAAAACTGGCTAGCCATATGTAGAAAGCTGAAACTGGATCCCTTCCTTACATCTTATACAAAAATTAATTCAAGATGGATTAAAGACTTAAATATTAGACCTAAAACCATAAAAACCCTAGAAGAAAACCTAGGCAATACCATTTAGGACACAGGCATGGGCAAGGATTTCATGTCTACAACACCAAAAGCAATGATGACAAAAGCCAAAATAGACACATGAGATCTAATTAAACTAAAGAGCTTCTGCACAGCAAAAGAAAGTACCATGAGAGTGAACAGGCAACCTACAGAATGGAAGAAAATTTTTACAATTTACCCATCTGACAAAGGGCTAACATCCAGAATCTACTAAACTTAAATTTACAAGAAAAAAAACAAACAACCCCATCAAAAAGTGGGAAAAGGATATGAACAGACACTTCTCAAAAGAAGACATCTATGCAGCCAACAGACACATGAAAAAATGCTCATCATCACTGGTCATTAGAGAAATGCAAATCAAAACCACAATGAGATACCATCTCACACCAGTTAGAATGGCAATCATTAAAAAGTCAGGAAACAACAGATGCTGGAGAGGATGTGGGGAAATAGGAACACTTTTACACTATTGGTGGGAGTGTAAACTAGTTCAACCATTGTGGAAGACAGTGTGGCGATTCCTCAAGGATCTAGAACTAGAAATACCATTTGACCCAGCGATCCCATTACTGGGTATACACCCAAAGGATTATAAAGCATGCTACTATAAAGACACATGCAATGTATGTTTTTTGCTATTCACAATAGCAAAGACTTGGAACCAACCCAAATGTCCATCAATGATAGACTGGATTAAGAAAATGTGGCACATATACACCATGGAATACTATACAGCCATAAAAAAGGAATGAGTTCATGTCCTTTGCAGGGACATGGATGCAGCTGGAAACCATCATTCTGAGCCAACTATCACAAGGACAGAAAACCAAACACTGCATGTTCTCACTCATAGGTGGGAAATGAACAATGAGAACACTTGGACACAGGGCATGGAATATCACACCCCAGGACCTGTCGTGGGGTGGGGGGCAGGGGGAGGGATAGCATTAGGAGAAATACCTAATGTAAATGATGAGTTAATAGGTATAATAATAAAAAAAAGATTTACTGTTTTCTTCTAAGAGATATAGTTTTAGCTCTTACTTTTCTTATCCATTTGGAGTTAATTTTTATGTATTATTTAAGGTAATGAGTCCAAGTTCATTCTTTTTGCATGTGGATATTTAGTTGTCTCAATACCATCTGTTGATAAGACTAATTTCTCCATTAAATTCTTTTTGGCAGCCTTGTAAAAAATCAATGGCCATAGATTTATGGTATATTTCTGGACTATAAATTCTATTCCATTGGTCTATATAGCTATCTTTATGCCACTATCACACTGTTTTGATTATTGAATAAGTTTTGAAATCAGGAAGTATGAGTTTTCTAACTTTGTTCTTTTTCAAGATTTTGGCTACTCTGGGTCTCAAGCAATTTCATATGAATTTCAGAATCAGCTTGTCAATTTCTACAAAAGAAAGCCTAGTTGGTATTTTGATACTGATTGTGTTGAATTTTAGATCAATTTGGGCAATAGTGCCATCATAACAATACTAAACTTCTCATCCATGAGTACAGAATGTCTCATTTATTTACATCTTTATTTTCACAATGCTTTGTAGTCTTCAGTGTAGAAGTCTTGCACTTTTTGTCAAATTTATTTTTAAGTATTTTATCTCTTTTGGTGCTATTTTACATTGAATTGCTTAATTTTTGGATTACTTCTTGCTAGTATATAGAAATACAATTGATTTTTTTATATTGATCTTGATTCCACAACCTTGCTGAACTTATTCATGAGATCTCATGCTTTCATATTGATCCTGGTTTAAAAATTAACATTCTTCATCTCATTTAAAGTTGGAGCTGTAAAAAGCATATCAACTACTCAATGTGCTTATATGTCAAATAAAGAATCTGATACTAAAAGAGGGTCAATAACTGGACCAAAGACACACAGTGATAGAGCAGAGATTTAAAAGTCCATCACAGTGGCAGTGATTGAACCCATAGGAACTGATGAGGCTATCCAGAGAATGGTCTAAGTGCAAAACCTGGGAAGAAGAAGAGACCTGGGCAATGGAGACAGAGAAGTCACCAATGGAGAGATAGAAGAACAGAACAGAGCAATCACTGTAGAGGGACAAGAAATGGGAAGGAGAGTGAGACCTGAGATCAAAGGAGGTGAGCCGGTGGTGGTACCTGAACACCAGTCACTTAGTCTTTCACAGCACCTATTTCTTCATCAACATATGAGAATTATACTATTTGCGTTAAGAGGAGTTCATGAGACCACATATGTAAAAGCACTGTGTGAAGACCAAAAGGTTCAACAAATTCAAATTATTATTTCAATTATTAAGGTATTAATAACCAAAAATGTCACCTGTGGAATAGCCATTGGATGTAAATATCAGACTGCGGCATGCAGAGGTACCCAGAAAAGACGGTCTAGAGCAGCTGTGAGACAGCAGTTAGGAGGGGGCTGATGAACACATGGGTACTGCTGGCATGGGAGTCTGAACTCACTCTTCTGAGATGTGTGAGGGTAAAGGAAATGGGAGCAGCCACACAGAAGCATAAGAACTTTCTCTGGTTGAGGGAGATTGGCTCTATTTCTTTTGAGATTTGAGTGGGGAGACATGAGCAGGTTTGGAAGCAAAATGGAGGCAAGAAAGAGAGGGAGACATGGGTAGGAGAAAAAAAAAAACAGTAGCTTAAGACGAAAGTTAAGTTTAGGCAAGAAGGAGAGACCCTTCTTCCTGAAAAGCAAGCCGGGTGATATGGTTTGGATCTGTGTCCCCACACAAGTCTCATGTTCAATTGTAATCCCCAGTGTTGGAGGTGAGGCCTGGTGGGAGGTAATTGATCATGGGGGCGGTTCCTAATGGTTTAGCACCATCCCCCTTGGTCACAATAGTGAGTGAGTTCTCCTGAGAACTGGTTGTTTAGAAGTGTGTGGCACTTCTCCCTTCCCTCTGCTCCGGCCGGGAAAGAGGTGCCTGCTTTCCCTTCACCTTTTGTCATTATTGGAAGCTTCTTGAGGCCTCCCCAGGAGCTGCTATGCTTCCTCTAATGCTTGAAAAACCATGGGCCAATTAAACCTCTTTTCTTTATAAATTACCCGGCTTCAGGTGTCTCTTTATAGAAATGCAAAAACGGACTAATCCACTGGGTAAAGAGGAAAGATGAACAGATGGGGAAATGCTGATATGAATAAAAAACAAACACATTTATCAAATCATGCCAGGCACTCTGTTAAGATGCTTAATTTTCATTAATGTATCACAAAACACGCACAGAACCCAGCACAGGGACGGGCAGCCAAGTCTCGCGGGAATGAAGGTCTGGGAACCTGGTCTGTGAATTAGGCTGGTCTACCCACATGCTGCCTAGCATTAGCTAATGGAAACCCTTTACAGACTCACCCCAGCCCAGCCCCACTGCTGCAAGCCCCCTAGACCCACTCTGCCAGGCCCCACCCTGCTCACTACTCACTCACTGTGTCTGGTCAGGTGTTGCCCTTTTCATTGTCTCTCATCTCCAGGTCAAGGTCCTCCCTTGAGCTTGAAATTGGCTTCTGTGCTCTTCATCCTTGGAGCTCTCTAAGGTGTTACTTATACCCCCTGGCCTTTCCCTCTCCCCTCCTGTTCCAGAAAGGCATCCCATTGAGGACCTTATTTCAGCATCATCAGCCCCTCCCTGGCCCAGGAATGGGAGTTTTAGCATTAGAAAAGCAATAAGACAAAAATATAAGGATAGCTGAGGGCCCACCTAAAGTTGGGATTTAATGCTTATCTGCAAAATAAGTGTCCTCATCTGCTGCTTTCTATCCTTTGACCACATCGTCCCATTTCCTTCTCTCCCACCTCCACCCTTGGTAACCACTGTTTTATTCTCTACCTCTGCATATTTCACTTGTTTTTTTAGATTCTTGATGGATATGTTAATTTGTTTTACTATAGTAACCATTTTACTATCTATATGTATCTCATGGCATCATGTCATCTACCTTACCTATACATAACAACATTTATTTTTGAAACCTAAGTATCTGTAAAACATGGGTCACAAACTGAAATAGCAGGGAACTTGAATGCAGGTCATATGGAACTTGTAGTAAACTGCAGCACTCAGGCACTGCCTGCCTAATGGGGACAGCCTCCACTCAGCTCCAGCCAATGACTGCCATGGGGAAATGTGAGGGAATCCCCCCAGAGAAGATCTTCCAATTTTTCATGAGATGCAGAAATTTCAAGTGCGTTTAATGTGCCTTCTCCCAATCTTTAAATGTAAGCAGCTAATTTGGAAAATCTTAAACATAGTATAAACCAAACAAATTATGTCTGCAAACCATACTTGACTCTTCAGCAATCGGTTTGCACTCTGTGTCTCCATTCTCACACTAACATTATCCCGAAGGACCTCGCTTTCAGGAAAAATTGCTTCTCAGTGCCTTCCTGGTAGGCATCTACCTCAAGCTGGCCTTTCCTCTGAAGCTGGGACAGCAAAGTACAACCTCTGGGCCAGATCAGGCCCCTGGACCAAATCCAGCCTACGGCCTGATTTTATAAATAAAGTTTTATTGGAACACAGCCACACATTCACTTCCCTATTATCTATGGCTACTTTTCCACTATAACAGCAGAGTCGAGCAGCTGCCAAAGAGACTATAAGGCCCCTAAAGCCTAACATATTTAACACTCAGCCCTTTACAGAAAAACTTTGCTAACCACTGCTCTAGGGCAAAGAAGATTCACAACAGGTGGAAGAATTGCATATTGTTAATCCATGAAGAAGCCTCCTGGAGATGTGTGATGTGGTGGCCCCACTCAATACTGATGCCTGCTGCTTTTCTCTCATTATCTGGAGCTCTTCAACAGATGAGGAAGAGGGCTTGGCAAGTGGCTTCTTATAGGAGAAACGACAGGTGTTTGGAAATAGCAGATTTTATTAGCAACTCCTGAGCAAGTCACTTAGCCTTCCTAAACTCCCAAATGAGAATCCGTACAACTGGGAAGAAATTTCAACCTTCAGGGTTGTCCTAAGGATTACATTAGATTTGCATATTAAAATTCTGATACACAGTTCCTGGCCTATGTTAGGTGCTCAATTAACATCAGTCACATTTAAAAGCACTTTGAATACGGCAAAAATCAAGGATTTCTCAAGAATCCAGTTGTGCTTGATAGCATTTTGAACACTGTAAAACTTAGGATTAGATCAAGAATCCTGATGCTTCCCATAGAAATTAGCCATAGGAAGGTACTGGTGCTGCAGGATAAATCTGCGCTGGCCGGTCACATTCTTTCCCAAGTCTGTTCTTTATCCAGCCCATCTTGGCCATCTTACCAACAGTTGGGAGTCTATCTTAAACTGCTTTCTCTCTCTCTGACTGTCTTTCTTTTCCTCTCCCTCTCTCCCTGCCCTGCCCCCCGACCCTTCCTCTTCAGGATCATGAAAATTAGCCAAATTTGTAATTTTGAAAATGAGCTTTTGGTCATCCATCATTTGTCCTGTCACAGCCAAGGGATGTGCCACACATTCCCTGAAACTTAATCTACCAAGGTGCTGGGGAAGATATGTTTCCCATCAGGGCCAGCTCTGAGTGTGAGCTGTACAAGGTGATGAGATAATCACAGATGGGTGATAAATCCAGCAGCAAATGAACGAAGGCCACTGCTAGGTCAGTCCAGCTGCTCAGAACCCCATCTTCAGCCTCAACTGAGTGTGGCCCCACCTCCTCTGTGGCTGAATCGCTGCCCTTAAACTGAAGGGCAGCCAGTAATGGAGCCAGGAATACGCTATCTTCAGCCCTAGGCCTGGTATGTTAGTCTGTTTTCACACTGCTGATAAAGACATGCCCGAATCTGGGAACAAAAAAATGTTTAATTGGACTTACAGTTCCACATGGCTGGGGAGGCCTCAGAATCCTGGCGCGAGGCGAAGAACTCTCCTCACCTGACCGCAGGAAGAGAAAATGAGGAAGAAGCAAAAGCGGAAACCCCTGATAAACCCGTCAGATCTCGTGAGACTTATTCACTATCACGAGAATAGCACGGGAAAGATTGGCCCCCATGATTCAATTACCTCCCCCTGGGTCCCTCCTGCAACACGTGGGAATTCTGGGAGATACAATTCAAGTCGGGATTTTGGCGGGGACACAGCCAAACCATATCACTTGGTGACAGTCTACGACCTCAGAGTTCGTTGAGAAATTATTTACATCTGAAAAGGACTCCGAACCAGAGAACACTCTGCAAAAGAAGTAACTGGGCTACCCTGAGCTCTGGACGACCCTCACTTCCTTCTTCACTGATTTCCTCCCATAGCAATTGTATGTCCCACATGCAAATAATCTGCTGTCTCTCACATCTGATCTTACTTAAAAACTCAAGGGGCTCTCATCCTAATTAAAATCCATAATTATTTATGCAGCCTCTTCAATGGTCCTCATTCTCAGCTCAGACCCCATTCACTGCCCACTGTTTGCATTCAGGCAAAGTTAAGAGGTTCCTGAACACTGCAGAGGCACAGAGCCCTCCAACATTGGCCTCCTTCACATTCTTCTCTCTTCAGCCCAGCTCAGACCACGTCATTTCCCTGTGCTGACATGCGCATTGGCTCCCCCTTGCCTGCAGAAAAGTACGCGTGCTTCAGTGTGATCTTCAAAATCCTCTCCTGCCTGGCTCTCCTTTGCAAATTTTTCTCTCATGATGCATTACCTGATCCCCCGCAAAACTAGCATTTTCCACCTTTATGCTGCCTGGAATCCCCAGTACTCCTCTCTTCAATCTTCTTACCTACCCAAATTGGGCCAACCCCCAAAGCAGCTCAAATGCCATGTCTTCCATTAAAATCTTCCTGTATCCTCTGGGTGAAAATTACTTATCCCCGCCTGGTCTGAGTTTGCTCAGCCCTTTGTACCTTCTTTAGGGCTCTCCTCCAATTTGGCCATTTTAATTTAACATTTGAGTGTCCGTGTGTGTTACCTTCTCTAGTAGTTAACAAGCTACTCCAAGATGAGAGCCAGATTTTGGCCATCTTTGTGGAGCCAGGTGTGATGGTGGTGACCAGCAGAAGAATGTGGATAGACTTTGGAATCCAACAGATCAGGATTTGAATCCTACTTCCACCAGTCACTTGTTTTGGGAATTTTGAGAGGTTGTTTACCTCTCTGAGCCTACTCCCTTATCAGCAAAATGACAATATTAATGTCTAATTCCCTGTGTAGTTTTTTGGTTAAAATCCATGCTGGGCATAAAGCATATATTTAATCATTGCCCGTTTCCCCCTTCTTCTCTGATACTTTCCACTTAGTATGTATTCTGTAAGTGTTCTTTTTGTTCTGATGAAATTGCCTGCTGTTTATGCAGACACCCTGCTTCCCTTGACACCAAGAGTAGTGTTCTCTGTCTTCTCCTGAAGACCTCCCCTCTCACCTTGAATCTCTTCGACTTGGTCCAGACAATTAGCTTTTCAGGGGTTTGATGAATGGGCATTAGTAGGAGAATGTCCATCCAGAGGAAATCTTTATTTTTAAAAATTTGCTATACAGAATCAGATGATAATTTTACTTTTAGAGAAAAACAAAAGAGCAAAATTGAGGATAGGACTTGTGATTACACGTCCCTCCTGCAGCCCACATCTTTCCCGGCTCACCTTTGCTGACCTACGTGCAAATTCTTCAGCCTGGCATTTACGGCTGTCCTCCATGGGGCCTCTACACACCTTTCCGCCATGATCTCTATAGTTACCCTACACTTAAGCCAGACTGGTCTAAGTGTTTCCATTACAAATGCCCTGTTAGTTTAAGCTGGTAGCATTTCAATAAGCCAAGAAAAAGAATAAGGTATAAGCTGGGCGCTGTGGCTCACGCCTGTAATCCCAGCACTTTGGGAGCCCGAGGCGGGCAGATCACGAGGTCAGGAGATCGAGACCATCTTGGCTAACATGATGAAACCCTGTTTCTACTAAAAATACAAAAAATTAGCTGGGTGCGGTGGCGGGCGCCTGTAGTCCCAGCTACTCGGGAGGCTAAGGCAGGAGAATGGCATGAACCTGGGAGGCAGAGCTTGCAGTGAGCCGAGATCATGCCACTGCACTCCAGCCTGGGAGACAGAGGGAGCCTTTGTCTCAAAAAAAAAAAAAAAAAAAAAAAAAAAAAGAATAAGGTATATACTAAGGATAACAACATGAACAAAGACATGGGGCTGGGTATTTGCTCTCTGATTTCTTTTCCTCTTTCTGCTAAGCACAACCATCTGCTGGACTCAGAAAGGTCAGCCAGCTACCTGGCAGCAGAATAAACTAGAAAGACTTGCTTGTTCTTGTATTTAGCTGACAGGTCATGAGGATATACTTTGGAGCAGGTGCTACATCCGCACTGGGGATTCAGAGAGAAAGAATGACTTTACCTAGAACTTGGCCCTTATTCCTGAAGGCAACCAGTGTAGCAGAGAAGACCAACATAGACAGCATCCTGAGTAGATGATGGATGAAACACTGGGGTGCTGCAACCAGGCTCTGTAGAGCCAGAAACAGAACTCCCCAGCCTGTGCTCCGTGATCTTCCAGCCAGAAGACGTCCAGGCAGCAGTTTCTCCAACTGCTGCCTGAGAGAGCGCATTTACTATTGCTACTGGGCAGCTGAGAATTTCCTGCTCTGTTCACCTTGTCTGTATCTTCCTATTTAATGGGTGATCAGGGTCCATAAATACTTTCCTTCATTTACCATATTCTAGGGCTGAGTACATCTTCTAGGTCAGTGGTTTGTGGACCAGCAGCATCCGAATCACCTGGGAACTTGTTAAAAATGTAAATACTAAGGCTGACTGCAGACCTACTGAATCAGAAATTCTGAGCCTTCTGGGAAGGCCCTGCAATCTGGGTTTTAACAAGCCCTCCAGGTCAGGTTGATGCATGCTAGAGTTTGAGAATGACAGTTCTAGATAGACAGTAACCTCTCAGAGGGGCACTGGTGTCAGAGATGTAGGTTGGTGGCTTTTGCTGCCTTGTTTCTGTGGGGACTCTCCAAAGAGGTCATAGAGGTCCTGTCATCTTTCAACTCTCCACGTAGATTCCCTAACACCATCTCCTCATCAGTGAATTGCAACATTGGATTAGGCACAATGTCTTACATTTTCTCAAATGTATTTGACAACTTTATTGTTTGTGTGTGTGTATGCCTGTGTGTGGGTGGATTCAGGCAGGGAAAAGGGGTAGGGAGGTTGGTAGAAGTGACAGGAAAAGGATTCTCCTCCCCATGGGAACACTCCAGCAAGTTCTCAGACATGTCACAGGCTGAAGCGCCAGAGGACAACAGCATGGAGCCGTCCATAAGTAAGAATTGCCAAACGTGTGACATCCAGCCATCTGTGAGCCTGTTTATGTGTCTAGAGCCCTCATTATCCTCCTGTGCACAGGAAGGGATAGGGATTAGCGTGCTCTGAGAACAAGGCTAGGATCACTTTATTGCCGTACAGGAGTCAGTTTCAAAAGTGATCTCTGCCAGCCCCCTTGCCATTACCAGAGTCTAGCCTGGCAGCCTTTCCATGGTTCCTACCCAAAGGGCATTTATATAACCATATAGCACATAGGAGCACCAGGTTGGGATGGGGATGGGTTGATAATATCCCCCTGTGGGCAGTGCAGGGGAAACGACATCTGACAAGGCTTAACTGAGAAAGCCTGGCTTAGAATATTGTATGCCAGATTCTGTTTGTGCAGAACACAGCAACTTGACTTTCCTTGGAGGGAGCAGGGAGACTAGAGAGGTGTAAATGAGGCTGTAATGAAACAGCTTCCTCCCTACCTTTTAGCAGCTTACAGAGAGAGAAACAGGAGACGCGTGAATTGAAGGCTGAGTGAGCAGTCTGCTCTGCTCAGGACCCACTTGCTGACAAGAGGCAAATGGAATACTAAGTACTCTGTGCCTGAATGCCTGGGAGCCTCCGGAAGCTGCCTCACTGCGTAGGTGGCAGCGCTAAAGCCCTGGTACAGAAAACATGCACTTGGGAGAGGGGGATAATGATAGCAAAAATGATGATGATGATGATGATGATGATGATGATGATGATGAAGACAATGATGACAATAAAGTTGGATGCCTGCCCTAAGTATTGTATGCTAAAAGCTTCAAAAGCATTCACTCATTTGATATTTGCAAAAGCCCCCAAGAGAAATAGTTACTACTCTTGTTTCTATTTGACAGGCAAGCCTGCTAAGGCTCACAGAGCTTGAGTAACTTGTCCAACATTTGTGTTAGAGCTGGATTTGAACTTACATAGTGCCTAGTATCTCAATAAATAATTACTGAATAAGAAAATGAATGAATGAATAAATAAATACACACATAATCAGCTGTATCTGACAACTATACGCTATCTTAACCCTGACATTGATTTGCGCTGTGGCCTTAGACAAATTACCTGCCTTCTTTATTTTTACCTCCATAGTATTTTTTCACCTTACTCACCTTGAAAGGCTATTCTACCCTGAAAGAAACGAAGAATGCATTGGGCAGCCAGCTGGTCCTATTAAATAGCTGCCTGCAGTGGTTAATTTTATGTGTCAACTTGACTGGCTTAAGGGGTGCCCAGACAGCTGGTAAAACATTATTCCTGAGTGTGTTTGTGTGGGTGTTTCTGGAAGAGATGAGCACTTGTATTGGTAGACTGAGTAAAGAAGACCAACCAATCACCAAGATGGATGGGCCTCATGTAATTCATTAAGAGCACCAATACAACAAAAAAGCAGAGGAAGGGAGAATTTGCTGTCTCTTGTGGAACTAGGATATCCATCTTCTCTTGCCCTGGGACATCAGAGCTTAAGGTTCTCGGACCGTCAGATTCTAGACTTACACAAACCACAAGCACCCCTGCTCCTAACTCTCTGGGTCTCAGGCCTTCAGACTCAGACTAAATGATACCACTGGCTTTCCTGGTTCTCCAGCTCAGTGGTGGTCTATAGTGGAACTTCTCAGCCTCTGTAAGCATGTGAGCCAACTCCATAGTAAATCCCCTTTATGTGTATGTATATATCCTATGGGATCTGTTTCTCTGGAGAAGGCTGATTGCAATACTGCCCTTTCATAGCCCATGCTTTCCTACGGCTGCTTCAGTCTTTTGCCCTATTACACTGGGCCACCACTAAGTATACATTAAGACTCGGCTCAGATTTTGCCTTTTATAGGAAGTACCTCCCGGCTTTCACTCTGACAACAATGCTCCTCCTCTTGCATGTCTACTCTGCCATGTCTCATTGTACAACAATCTTTAGATTACTTGCTGGCTCCCGCACTAGTCTCTTTGGTGGCAGAGACTGTGTTGATCACTTTTGTATACCCAGAGCCTTGTCTTCCTCTTAGTACAGGTAGGTTCTCTCAAAATGTTTGCTGAGTTAATGTATGTATGTACGTATGTATGTATGTGTGTATGTGTGTGTGCCAGGGAAATTCCTTGGTACAATGTAAAGGTCTTAGGGAACAGAGTCCAAAGTGAGCTAAAGGACATCTCAGTGAAGTCTATCAGCACCTGTAGACTTACCATGGACTAATAATGTTCAGTGGAATAAATAGAAAATAAAGTGAGTTGAGCCTGAAGGGGAAAAAATCCTTTCTGTTGAGCGGTGTATCTATTACTTTCACCTGATTTTCCTTTAGGTCAGGGTTTCTCAACCTCAGCACTACTGAGATTACAGACAATTTGTTGTTGTGGGGTCCATCCGGTGCACTATGGGATGGTTATTATTATCTATCTCTGGTCTTTATTTACTAGATGCCACCAGCAATTTTCTCCCCAGTCCCAAAAAACAAAAATGTCCATACTCAGCCAAATGTCTCCTGTGGGGGTTTGGGCAGGTGGGAGGTGTGGCAAAATTATCCTTACTTGATAATTTTTCTTTAGACATTATTGCTGAATTTGCATCATACTTGGGTCATTCCATCTTTGCATTTTGAACTGTGGGGTGGTAGGGACAGGATTAAGAGGTGATATGCAAACCATCATACAGCAGGCCTCTCCCTGAGATCTAGGCTGACCTGGAAGACTGGATAAATGTTACAGACCCTGAACACTAGGTTATTAATGGTTTAATTGAGGGACAACAAATTCAGATTTCACATGAGAAGAGGCCCCACCAGAAATGATCCTAGGCCAAAGGAACAAATATAGACCAAGGATCAAAAATTTGACCTTGCAGTCTTGGGTAAGGTGATGCAGCAGACAGAGAAGCCCAATCTTAAAGATCAGGCTCCAAGGGGTATTGAATGAGATTCAAAGGCAGAAATCAAGCCCAAGAAGACACAGGGGCCTCAGGCAAGGATTCAATTGGCAAAGAGAAGGAAGGACCAGTGTGGCTGAGGAAATGGGACCCAGGGCCTCCACGACTGGCTGCCAACATAACCATTGACCCCTATTCATCAGCCCAAGACACAGAGCTCAGTCCCCAGAGGTGAGAAAGTGGCCCCAGTTTGGAAAAGCTCTTGGACTGTCTCCTATAGATCTCCCATCATGAGACATCATCCCTTCCTTCAATAACTCTTTCTTAAAATTGTAGCACTGACTTTCCCAGAAATTAAGGATGTTTTACTTTTGTCATTTTTATTTGCAACCATGTAAAACAAATCATCCGGCAACTGTCCTACCCTGGAAACAAGGGTTTGTTTCATAACATGGTCTGGGGTTCGTCCAACAACTCTCCACCGAGGCCCATGACGTTCTTTTCAGGCTAACTTCAGTAACACGTCTGAACCACAAGGCTCAGTTTACGAGAGTAACCACAAGGCGATGTCTACACTGATGCCAAGCACAAGGACAAAAACCAGAAGGAAAAAAGGCAGTGTGAGGATCCAGGAGTTCTGTTCACCAATTTCAAACCTCCAGATGTTAGGAACTTTCTGCTTGGATTGGCCAAAATGATTGCTAGTTTCATGCACATGTGGGTAACAGGTAGCATAGGTTTGAGTTACCAGTTAGACACACAAACACACACACACACACACACACACACACACACACACACAGAGTGAAGGCAAACATTTCCAGAAATACCTGATTACCACATGGAGACAATGTCTTAATCTACTACACAATAACCACCTCTGAACAGACAGTGAAGAGGATTTTAAGTGTTCCTGGAACTAAAAAATCAACCCAAATCTAAGAAAGCATTTCTTTACCACCTCCATTTTTGAGATTCTGCTCTGCAAAGTAGAGGAGGATAGAGCTTGAAGGCTCACTTTCAGCAAAACAAAAGAGAAACAAAAAAACCCGTAGGGTTGAAAACAAGGTTATTTGGAAGCTAGGTCCGAAAGTGCCTTACAAGATTTGTGGTGTGTTTGGAATTTAGCTTTCTCTTATCAGCTCTGACCGCTGAACATTAAACTAATGGAGCAAGAGAGGGAAAGGATCTACAAGCAGCTTGTGGGAGAAATATATGAGAGGATGGAAAGTTTTTAAAAATGCGCTTTTCTGTCCTAAACTCTTTAGCAAAAATAAAAGTCTAAAAGGCAGAAACAAGCTTTCTCTGCCTCCAAAAGGAAACGAACGAGTGAATTAGCTCTCCGAGACACCTCAGCTCAGGTAATAAGGAAGGAAGGAACAGAGGATGAAGGGCAGGATTAAAGCTGCTGAAATAGGGAACTCATTCTAAATTAGTCATTAACGAGAGGAAATAAAGAAAAGAAATCGGAGCAATTAGGAAGTAATGAAATCCTTACCCAAATTGCTATTGTCAAAACCTAGATAAGAAAAGGCCTAGGAAATACGAATGTATACAAATCAGTAGATTCTGATGACCTGGCCCCTAGAATATTAAGGAAATTGGCTAACATACTAAATCACTTAGAGTAATCTGAGTTACAAATTGTTAAAAAAAACCATGGAAAATTGGGAAGCTAGCTGGAGGCAGGGGTAGAGGGGTGACAGAGAATAAAAGAGCTAAAAAATCCCACCAAAATGTTAAAGGGGCCACTGCTGAAATCACTTGCCAGGGTTTCTCACAGCCATATTTCAGTTTTATGTCATCATTTTGTGAAAAGAGAATTCAGCCTAAAGTAGCTAGGAAAATGACATGCAAATATATATTATCATAGGAATTTTAACAATTAATCGCAGGAAATTCTATTTTTTTTCCAACTATATTATTTCGGGAACTTTTAAAATAGGCCAGTGAGAATTTTGTTTGGAACTTTACAGGCAATTGCTATAAGTTTACCAAATGGATATGACCTCCAAAGATTTGGAGAAAAATGCATTAGTGGACATGAAATGGCAAAATATATTCTTGAGGACACAGCTTCTCAGAACGTACATCTAGAATCGTGAGCTCTGAATCAGGCCACCTCATTTCTTAAAAGATAGAGGTTTTATCATAGTCACAATTCAAATAAGACAAGTAGAAGGAGATTTGGCCAATATCCAGAGACAGTAAAGTGCTTAAAAAAGGTGCTCAGATTTCATGGGAATCCAAAACGCACTGCAAGGTCAGCCTTACAGTGGTAGTGCAGGCCCCCAGGGCACTTGGCTGACAGCTCACTGACAGCCTGTGTGTGGCACAATTTGTGTGGCTTTAGTGGTGACAGGACCACTGCATTGGTCTGCTCCGGGGCTGTGCATTGCAGCATTTCATCAGGGATATTTTGGAGCACTCAGAGAAACAGAATGGTTACATGCACTTTGGAGCAAAATTCACTTATGATGAAATCCTAGCTCCCCCTCATAAGCTAACTTCTCTGTGCCTCAAACTTTTCACCTATGAAATGGCATTGCTAACTCCTATCCTGCAGGAGAGTTGGAAGAATTGATCATATAGTGAATGCAGTTGATAGGTAACCAATAAAAATGTGGTTTTCTGAATTACCTTGCTGATTTACTAGAAGTTTGATTTGGTGAATTACTCCTTATAGCTGTCAGTAGAGATCTAGGGTGAGGTAACATTGATACTGATTTGTAATATTGATCTGCTTGGGGTAGTACAATGATTCTGGAGAAGCAGATAAATGGAAATAAACCCTTTATAGTCTTCTTGCAGGTAGACATTCAAAAATCTCTCATTTGCCACCAACGGTTCTTAACCAGAGGAGATTCTGTTCCCCTACCACAAGGTGACATTTGGCAATTTCTGGAGACATTTTTTTTGCCACAATTAGGAGGAGGTTGCTACTGGCATCTAGTGCATAGAGGCCAGGAGTGATGGTGAAAGCACATAGACCTTTTTCATTCTAAGGATTCCCTATGCTCAACAGGCAGCCAAATATGAGTCTCAGAACCCGGTAGGAGAAACGAATGGAGGAGTCCCCATCATGGGGAGTCTTAATACTCAAGACTTCTGAAAGTCTAGACCAGGCTCAGGTCCCTCATGTGAAATGAGAGAAAGCAGTTAATTCCAAGACTTTGGGGGCTGAAATCATTCCTAGATAGATCTGTCATGAAGAGGAGAGGGAACATTCTGGGCACTGGTCTGACATTAATTACCTGGCCATCCTCCTTCCTATCCACGATTCTTCCTTCCAAGGCTCAACTAAAAGCACTGAAACTTCTGAGGTGTGATATCCACAAAGGATGCAAACTCAGAAGCCTGCACTCTACTGTCCTTCTGTGCATGTGCTATAGCCAGTGACAGAAATGATGGCTTTAAGTTTCAGCACCACCATGCTTCCCATGGTTAATGTACAGGAGTGATGAGTCATTTGGCCCTAGAGACTAGAATCTATACAGAGCAGAGCTGTACAGGCTATCCTGTCTTTTCTCATTAGAGTAGGAACCTAGAATGTAAGGCTTTCTTTCCTGGGAACCATTTCCAACCACTGCCTTTGGTGTCTGCTTGAGAAGGTCATGTAGACAGATTTTGAGCTTTTGATCCACGCCCAGGTCATATCATCAGTGGGAGCTAATTTCAGCTCTGATACCAGCTCTGGTTTTTGTTTTAGTGTTTCTTTGAAGGGATGATGTCCTCTAGTACCATGATGACTCATGTCAGCAAGCTCAACCTCAACAGAGTTATAAACCTTCCTGCAATGAAATTCTCAGAGAGTTTACTCCACCCTAGGTAATCTATAAACCCTATCATCTACAGAGTGAAGTCCTTGTGCAAAATTTGGATCTATCCAGTGGTCCAGAGGAGGGATCCCCCTAACTAAGGACAGCTCCATTGTTCTCCAGGAATGGAAAGACTTGGAGACAACTTCAGGGAAATTGGAAGTTTGGGTGCTATTAGGAAGTATTTGGTAGGAAAAGACAGTGAATATTTACATTTTATTCTTTTATTCCTGACATGCTAAAATATGTAGAGACATAAAACTAAGTATATATTCTTTATGCTTATAATTCTTATACAGCTATAAAATCAAAACAAAGTCACAAATCAAATACAAACAAAACCAATAACATTTAAATTAACAACATTAATTTAATGTGATGGATATGGTTCTTTTGCTAAAACTAAATTTCAGCTCACAATGTGAATATGATACTGACTGCTGGAATAAATTATTTTGAATTTAGCATGCTAATACTAATGTGGGATCTGTGATGATTCAATTTTTTCATTACTTTTTTTCCTTTGCAAACTACTGCAGAGCTATCCCTGGTGCAGGATGAAGTGACATCACTTAGAAAACATATTTGATGCTTTAGTCTACCTCTATTCTTTCCTCCTTTGCTCAGATAATTAGAATAGTACTAGTTGGCTTTGATGTGATCATAAACTATAAATGTGGTCACTGAAATGGTGGCAGTATTTTCTTAAATAATGGTCATATTAAGGCTTTAGAAAATGCCTGTAAGATTATATAATTGGCATACATATAAAATAAAAAAATTTTTAAATCATCATGGAAAAGTCATAGAACTCTCAGAAATGTGTAATGGACCGCTACTCCACCACATCAACTTTCTTAAATATCTATTTGTAAAACAACAATGCAGGTAATGCAAGAATCAAGAAACCATGGTATATTAATATAAAACCACCTGTTGGTTGTGTATTTCAATGGTTCTCATCTCAGGTTCCTGGTTTAAAGAAGGACTCTTAAAGATTATCACAGCAAAGCATGGGTTATAAGGGACAGAATGGGTCAAGATAGGGAGGTCTAGGATCTAGAAGAGCAGAAGTGCTTAATTAGATGGTCCACTTCTAGATGGAATTAAGATTAGATGATCAGTTCATTTATGCAAAAGCAAAGGAAACAATAGATCCAATGGGAAAGAACGAATCTAGGCTTTCAGCACCTGCCAAAACTGGGGAGTGGTGAGTGGGGAAAAGAAACTCACCTGACCAATATGTTTTAAAATGATAAATACACAAATGATTGATAAGTAATATAACTCATCCATTCACCTGTTCATCTATTCATTTATTTCTGCATATGAATATATTGAATACTTATTAACTCCTATATTAGCTGGGTAGTCAGTAAACAAAACACATTTCTTTTGACTAACAGAAGCACTGACCAAATTTTTACCACCAAGCCAAGGAAAGAGGCAATATGCTTCCTGCCCTATTTGGAGCCTTCTTGTTTGACACCTGTTCTGCAGCCAGATGCTTCCAGGGAGACTGGGCCTTCAGGCAGAGGCTTTGTTCCTGCTCCCCGACCAGGGACCTGACAGGAACACATAATCCCTATCAACTTTTGGTCAGAGACTTCTGCTATGGACTATTGCTTTATTTATAGCCCTGTGATCTCATTAACCCCCAAAAGGTAAAAGTATTCAGGTAGTGTTACAGATGGACATGTTTGTCTTTTCAAGATTCAGAAATATCATTAACAAAATACAGCCATGATTTTATTTAAAGCTATTCATTAGATATAAGTGAAACCAACTTGCTGCAGCAGCCTCTAGCTGCAAGTACAGTGGGGGCTCTCATAGTTCTCCTAGTTCATGTTGGAAGGCATCCTGGAGGCAGGATGGAGGAGAGAGAGGTAGGGGAGAAAGAGAGGCAGACAAGCTGGGCATGAGCCTACCCAGCTATGGGCATCTTCTGAAGACTTTAGACAATAGTCAAAAATGCAATGTAGGCTGCACTGACCTTTAAGAAATCCATTATGATGGGCATGTGCAGAGTTCTGGCATCTCTGGATGCTAGTCCTAAAAGTCCAGGTATCTTCTGAATTGAAACAGGATTGAATCTAATAACTAGAAGATAGAGTCTGGTCGACCAAGGGAGAGGGCTTTTTATTTCCCCAGCACAGAGTCTGGCAATGGTACATGAAGAGGAATGAACAGATGAATCTATGGAATCTAAGACATAGTCATCTGAGGCATAAGTTTCCAGGCTTAGGAAGGCAAGAAGATTCCAGGCTCAACCTACTGGTAAAGTGGGCCCCTGAGAGAAGGTGTTGTCAGGCTTCGGGTTCATAGGCTCAGGGACTGGGAAGAGCTGGTTCTGGGCCCAAGGATCTTCTTTACAGGAGGAAGAAGTGATGGAGCAGGCAGAACAGAACAAGCTCAGCCTCGTTCGGTGAAGCAGCACACTTAGCTCTCATCTCTCATTTCTGTGAATGGAACACACTCTGGTAGGTAGAATTCTAAGATGATCCTCAATTAGTGACACCCTTGTATTATCCTGTTTTCTTGAGGACAAGTGGAATTTGTGACTTGCTTTTAGACAAGAGAAGATGGTAAAGGTGATGGGATAATCACTCCCATGGCTACATTACATTATATAAGACTCCCTTGTAGCAGAGGGGAGGGAGATATTCTCCTGCCGGTCTTGAAGAAGCTGCCATGCTTTGAGATGGACGATAGAGGGGGCCACATGGAAATGACCTGAGGGTGGTCTCTGGGAGCTGAGAGTGGGAACTGACTGATAGCCAGTAAGAAAGTGGGGAACACTGTCATACAGCTACAAGGAGATTAATTCTATCAACAACCTGAATGAATTTGGATTCCTCCTCAGTCAAGCCTCCAGATGAGAATGTGGTCCAGCCAACACCTCGATGACAACCTCTGTGGGACCATGAGCAAAGGATCTGTGAATCCCAACCCATAAGGCTATGAGATAATAAATGTATATTGTTTTACATTTCTGAGTTTCTGGTAATTTATTATGCAGTAATAGATAGCTAATACATGGTTAAGATATGAATCCCAGCTTCTGTCTCTCCAATTGTGTGTTAAAAAGTTACCTAAGCAGTTTGTGCCTCAGTTTCCTCATCTGCAATATGGAAAAAATAATAAAGGTTGTATTAGGTTGGTGCAAAATAATTGCAGCTTTTGCCATGAAAAGTAATGGCAAAAACCGCAATAACTCTTGCACCAACCTAATACCTGCCTCTTAGAATTTTATGAGAATTAAATTGGTAACAGAACACAAATATCTTTATAACTAAAAATATAACGTTCCACCCCTATGCTGAGGACAGAATAACTACTATTATTTTTGATCTCCTATACCAAGACAGGTCCTATCACCGGGGAAGCTTTTGCTTGAGATCCAAAGCCCACATTCAGGTCACGTTACAGATGGACATATTTGTCTTTTCCAGAATCAGAGGCATCATTTCTGATCTCTCTTTCTAGATGTTATTCTCTGTCTGATCCTTTTCGCAATTTCAGCTTTCCTTCCTGTATGCTCAACTGCCTTCACATGCTGCCAGGCCTCTGATTGCAAGCCCCAGCCTAGTAATCAGAGCCCATATAAACATTTCCCCACTGTTCAGTCCAGTTCAGTTTCTGCCATTGGCTCTGCTTCCTTTGCACAGTATCTGCAAACTTTTATGCCTCCTCGTTCTTCTGCCCAGACCTTCCAGATGCAATCTGCTTCCCCAAGACGATAGAGTTAATCAAGTCCTGGACCTTCCTGAATCATCCTGGTACTTATATATATGAATATAAAGTCAAGAACTGGACACTTTGGCTTATTACACCTGCAGACCACTGAGAACACTCCAATAAGCCAAACCCGAGACTCTAGTTCCAATTCTATTCAATTTCCTTGTCCTCATAATTGATCCCCATGAAAAAGAAAGGCAAAAGATGAAATAATGAAAGTGACTGAAAATCCCGTAATCCTGACACTGAGAAACTTCAAAAAGAGTCACATAGTGTCAGGGAAAGAGTAATTTAGAGGGAGGGGAACCTGGGGAACTTAGGTTTCTATCAGATCTGTCATGACTGGTAACTCTTCAGACCTGGGACCCCAAGTGCCTGGAACACCGTAGAGCGTACAGTGGGCGCTCAGTAAATGTTGACTTGAACAAAATAAGTCCATCAGGTAACAAGTCCTCTCATAGTCCAAGTTCTTCATTCATGAAATGAGGCTGGTAATTCCTAGATTGTAGGGCTGCCACAATAATGTACAAGTAGCTAAAATAGGGGCATGCCCATGGTAGGTGCATCATGTTAAGTTACCAGTAAAAAATAGCAGTTATTTTATTAAAGGGAACTGAACACTACCATCAATTGAAATTTAAGTCTATCTAATACAAAGATACTGTAACCCCAAGTGTAAGCCACATATGTAATTTAAAATTTTCCAGTAGCCACATTATAAAGGTAAAAAGAAACAGGTGCCAATTTTAATAATGTATTTAATTTAATACACTATATCCAAAGTATTATCTTTCAATGTATAATCAATATAAAAATTATTAATGAAATATTTTACATTCTTTTTACATATTAAGGCTTTGAAACACAGTGTACATTTTAAACTTATAGTACATCTCAATTCAGAGAAGCCACATTTCAAGGGGCTACCATATTGGTCAGTTCAGGTCTACAAAGTGAATCACCAACAAGCCAGTGAATTGAATGAAGTGGTCTGTTGGCATGTTAACAGCTGTACCAGTCTCTGTTCAACATACGCACTATGAAGTGGAAGTAAAGAATAGATGATTAGGCCCGGCATGGTGGCTCACACCTATACCCCAGTACTTTCAGAGGCCGAGGCGGAAAGATCACCTGAGGTCAAGAGTTCGAGACCAGCCTGAGCAACATAGTGAAACATCATCTCTACTAAAAATACAAAAATTAACCAGGTATGGTGGCAGGCACCTGTAATCCCAGCTACTTGGGAGGCTGAGGCACAAGAATTTCTTGAACCCAGGAGGCAGAATTTGCAGTGAACCGAGATCACGCAATTGCACTCCAGCCTGGGCAACAGAGTAAGACTGTCTCAAAAGAAAAAAGAAAAGAAAAGAAAAGAAAAATAATAGATGGTTGCAAGCCATAAAAGAAAGAGAACTTTGGGGGATGGTCAGACTTGTTGGTAGTGACAGTTCCCAAACATTTGGAGCACCTACCCCTCTTTGTCACCAAAAAGGGAAATGGTGCCCAAGCCAGAATAGCCTATGGTTAAGGAAAAGAACCTTAATTCTGGTTCCTTCCCTCCTTGATAAGATGCAAACATGAAATCATTCTGGGACTCACCCTCTTCTATGCTGAAGAGAGTGGAGAGGCAAGCCTGCTGATTACATCCCTGTATTCACTCTGCAGAAACGTTCCTTCTCCTAAGTTCTTTTCCAGCACTTCTTCATTGTCTTCAACAGAACGGCTTGCAGCAGGCTCTTTTATCACCCTTTTCTGCTCTCCCTTCTCCCTGTACTGGCCAACCAGAGTTCTTTTAAGATGGACAAAGGTGATGGGAAAGCACTTCTGCCTGCAAGGAATAGAGATGCAAGAAGGGACACCTTGGTGGAGTGCCATTTGAACGAATATTAATTAGCTCAGCAGCTAGTTCTGGACAATTGATTTCAAACTCCAGATGTTCTCATTCTAACTAAGAGTCATGTGGAAAAAAAATGAATTGATTAGTATCTTGTTCATTTTTGGTGTCATGTAGTGAAATAATCCAGGACTGCTGAGCTGATGGGATTTTGCTTTGTTCCTCTCTATTTTCAATAACATTTTAATGCACTTGCTCATTCCATCTCTCTTTTGCCTGGGGGGTATATTTTTCCTCTGTGTCCTTCAGATGCAACTGTGCTCTATTTTCTTCAATATAAGGCCCATCCTAACAGAGGAAAAGGTGGAAAATATGGTAGAATGAAAGGACATCATGTGTGTGTTTCCCTTAATGAGGTAAGAAATGGAGGGGGTCTTCATTTGGATCATGAAGGAAGGTCTTCATTTGGACCATTTATGGGATTTTTCTGAAGTTAAGTTTTCTGTAAATAGTGGGGAACAAAGCCCAGGCCTATGCTTAGAGTTTCCCAGGATAGGGTTTATTATATATCCAGTATTTGACATTTTGTAAGGGCTTGGCAATCATTATCAATGATTCAATTATGACAGGTAGCACCAATTATTCACAAAGACGAAAAGAGAAGATATAGAAATGGTGCTCACAGGTCATCCAGAAAACATACCTTCATGCAATTTTGACAATAGCCTCATGATTGGAGTTTCATAACTTTTCCCTGTTTTTAATGAAGTAAGCCTTGGGATGGCCAGGACCTTGACCCAAAGAGCAAAAAGGGTAAGAAGCCAGAAATTTAAGTGTATAATAAACCTTAGATCTTTGACTGTTTTTATATGCACACAGGTTACAGCTTGGGGTCCAGCCACACCTAATGCACAAGCCAAGAGTCACAATGAGCTCAGCACATCCCACGCAAAAGATGCTGGGAGGTCAGGACTATTTATACTCCTGGGAAAAGAACAAAAAAGAGCCAGGAAGGAGTCACAGCTGGATTGCTCAGCACGGGTTGCAGATATTCATTGAGGTGGTACAGAAGGATGTCCAACAGAAAAGGAAAAAGCAAGGAAGCTATCGGTTCTGAGTATAAATGACCATAGGTCTCAACATCAGGAAATTTAGAAGTGTAGGAATTAATGGTATCAGAGACAGTGGGACCCAATACTTTTGCATGAGACCCATCTTATCTTCCCAAGGAAGGACCAGTGAGGACAGTAATAACACACCAGTGAGAACTCTTATTGGTGCAGCCAAGTTAGAAAATTTGGTGTCTGCAGGGAGCAACAGGTGATAACACAACTCAATATGACTTAAACAAAACTCTTCCTCTTACCGCAGTCCTTCCTCCTCCAGAACTTCTCATATCAGTAAAGATCACCTCCATACCCTGAGTTCATTATGGAAATCTTCAGCCAATCAGTCATGGAGTTCTGTCTATTGCTCCTCTCACACTTGTGTTGAATCTTTTCCACCTTCACCACCCTCCTCGAAAATACTGCCAGCTGTACTGAAGTACCCTCCGAACTATCCCCACTGGAAGCTCTCTGTTTCAATCTCTACATGGCAGTCAGAGACATCCTTGAAAAATGAAAATCCAGTCATATCACTCTCTCAAATAAAACTCCTCAATGGCTTCCAATTGCTCTGAGCTTAAACATCATATTTTTTTTTTTTACCTTGGGTGAGGTATTTTACCTCCCTATTCTTCCAGCTCACTCAACTCCAGACCCCTGGCTTCTTTTCAATTCCTAAGTGCAGGATGCTCTTGCCTGTTCTGTTTTCTCCATGAGGTGCATGCTGAGCCTCCAAAAGTTCATCAAAGGTAACAATATAATAATGGTGGGGGTATGGGGAGGGTATGTGACAGTGAATTCTGTACATGCTAAAGGAGTGAAAGAGCTTCTGGTGTAAACCCTCACGTTTTTCTTGAGGAAACTGAGGCTGAGATAAGTAAAGTGGCTTTCTTAGGGCCTCACTCTAGGTCAGTGAACCAGAAAGAGAATGCAGTTTCCCTGACAAGTTTTGTGCCTTTTTTCATGAAAACTTGCTGGATCCAGTCCTCTCTCCATGACCAAATGCTGCCAAAGTGTCAGACTTGTTTTTAACATAGTGCTTGATCTTGCCAAAGGTTTAGATCAGGGGTCAGCAAACTATGGCCCGTGGGTCATGCCCAGCTTGCCACCTGTTTTTGTAAGTTAATTTTTACTGGAACCCAGCTATGCTCATTTGTTTGTTTTGTATTGTGTATGCCTAATTTTGTGCTACAAAGGCAGAGTTGAGTAGCTGCAACAGAGACCTTCTGGCCTACAAAGCTGAAAATATTTACTATCTGAGTCTTTACAGAAAAAGTTTGCTGTCTCCTGGTTTAAATTCTCAGGTAATTATGTTCCTTCCTCATCCCTGTAATTTTTAATGTCATCAAAGGACTTCGGCAGAGAGGGGAACATCAGTACGACTGTGGGTATATGTGTTATCATAAGACAATAATGCTCATTCACTCACTTAACCAGTCCCGATGACGCTCCTGCCATGTTCAGGTTGTCACCCCACAGATGGAGGTGGTTTCGTGCACTGTGAGCACATCAAACATTACTTCATATAATGTAAGCACAAATCTATATTCCAGTGTCACATGTAAATGAAATATACATGAAGCTCAAAACAGTGGTTTTATCATTTTCTTAAATTGTCTTTTTTCTTCCCATCCATTGGCAATCAAAATAGGGTTGTTTGCAATTGTATAAACTGCCCTGGGTTTCGCATGTAAAAATGATGTAAATACCAGATCTTGTTACTTTTTCACTGGCCAAAATCTGTGCATTTTCCCATCCTTAGGTGACTGACAATAGCAATTTGCCAAGTCTATCCCTCCCTCCTTCCCCTGCTCCCCACCCAACACCACACACACATACCCCAGAGTTATGCTCCATGAGTGAAGAAGTTGGCATTAGATTTCACTGACTGTGAGGGAAGAGGAAGCCAGGTAGGAACCAGGTAGGATTTTCATCACTTAGTTACTCAGGAAGCAGGCAGTGGAGTCAGAAGTTAAGAATAAGATCTCATCTCCCACTTGCCACCCACATTCCCTCCTCTCAATACTACCTCTTTGGACAGAAGCTTATCACAACCATTTGCTTTGTCAGATTGTCCCACAAAAAGGGAGGCAAGTCCCCGGCTACTGGGATACTTAGACAGGACAGACACTGGGAGCATTTGGTCTCAATGAGCTTTCTTCTTCCCATACAGTTTTCTCTTTTGACAAATGATGGAATCCAAACTCCAGCGGCAGATTCAAACTGTGGGGAAAGTTAATGAGGTAGGAGGCATCAGGTGAGTTACTCTGAGACAGGGTGAGGAGGATGGAAATTTCTACAGCCTGAAAGAAGCCCAGGGAGCCAGCATGCTTGTGCCTTTTTCCTGAGGAGTACGAACCAGTGCAGTGGCCATGGTGGCTCTGTGCAGGAAAGTGGGGGGATGGTGTTTCTTCTGCTGTGCACAGAAAATTGACCCTTTCTTTGCCCTTGGCAGACCATGTATAATAAGATTACTGTGTAATCCTTGTTGCTTGTCCTAGGAGCAGCCTTATCAGAAGGACAGAGAGGCATTTTACATTTGGATCTACTGTATGTATTATCTCCCAGCTGCTCCTTTTAATTTTATTTTCAGAGACAGGGATTTGCACTGCCTGAAGAGAATAGAAACACAGGGCTAGCCCCTGCCAGCCCCATCAGCCCTCAGGGCTTCTGGGCACCCATATTAATGCACAGGACCTGCCAAACACTGAGACATCCCCCTCCCCCAACCCTCACCTGTTGTCACAGCCTCTGCAGAGCATTGAGGCCCCCAGAGGCAGAGGACAAAGAGGTCACTGCTGCTGCTGCCTGCCAGTCTCCTCTCAGCCTGCTCAGTGGCAGCCCTGGTCTTTCCTGGCACCATTTGATGTGCCCCTGAGGGATGAATGCTGGAAGAACAAGGCCAGGGCTTAGCCACTATCCTGGCTTTGCAGGGCCAGTGTCAGGTTACCTTTTCAGGCCTGATGCCCTCATGAGTAAATGAGGGATGAAAGGCAGTGAGACTGAGTTCTGGGGCTGCCAGGCACCCTGTACCACATGAGCTCACCTCTCTTAACCACAATTTACACAAAACACTGAGACTATGATACCAGCATGTATAACAGAGACAATGGAAAGGGATAAGAGGAGAGATGATAAAGAGAGGGGATCTCTCTCAAAACATGCAACTGGAAGGCAAGGATTGTCTCTGGGCCTGTTTCTCTGGCTCTGGCCATCTGGAGAGAGGCCCAGATGGAACCCTGGAGTCCAGCCCTATACAACAGCTATCACAGCCTGAACCCACAACTCATGAGGGGTGATGGCCAGAGAGGAGGGATGCAGAACCCTACAGTGGGTTCAGTGTCAGTGCCAGTGTGCATGCCATATAGATGGGCTGCCATCCACAGGCTTGGCCTCCATGAAGAGAGCTCTGACCTAGAAATAATGGGTTCAAATCCCACTCTTGGCACTTGTGCTTTTTGGTGTCATTGGCAGAGTCACTTCTTAGATTTCCCATACATATATTAAGGAGTTAATTAGATTAGAAATTGCAAATTCACGGGTGCGGTGGCTCACACCTGTAATCCCAGCACTTTAGGAGGCCAAGGCAGGCAGATCACCTGAGGTCAGGAGTTTGAGACCAGCCTGCCCAACATGGCAAAACCCCATCTCTACTAAAAATACAAAAAAAAAAAAAAAATTAGCCGGGTGTGGTGGCGCTTGCCTATAGTCCTAGCTACTCAGGAGGCTGAGGCATGAGAATAGCTTGAACCCCGGTGGCGGAGGTTGCAGTGAGCTGGGATCACACCACTGCACTCCAACCTGGTCAATTGAGCAAGACTGGTCTCAATTAAAAAAAAAAAAAAAAAAGAAGTTGCAAATTCAAATGTCAGTTGGGGCCACGCACATAAGGAAATGAATGAAAGGGGTTGAGTATAACACAATAGGAAGTTATGAGGACTGTGGTGGGTGGAGGCTCACGCACAGTGCCAAGGGGCAGCCACTTCCCCATCCATCCAATTTTTGACGTGTTGTTGCAAGCAAAGGTTGCCAGATTGATGACTGCAAGGGAAACTGCGCATCCAGAAGGAACTCTCAGGTTTTCAAAGTTGGCATATCCGTCATTTTATTTTATTTTATTTCATTTCATTTCTGAGATAGAGTTTCGTTCTTGTCACCCAGAGTGGAGTGCAGTGGCAAGACCTTAGTTCACTGCAGCCTCCGCCTGCCGAGTTCAAGCGATTCTCCTGCCTCAGCCTCCTAAGTAGCTGGGATTACAGGTGCCCACCACTACACTCAGCTAATTTTTGTATTTTTAGTAGAGACGGGGTTTCACCATGTTGCCCATGCTGGTCTTGAACTCCTGACCTCATGTGATACACCCACCTCAGCCTCCCGAAGTGCTAGGATTACATGCATGAGCCACTGCCTCCAGCCACGTTTTTTAAAAAAGAAACATCTGTATGAACAAAATAAAATGTGCCTGTGGGTCAGATTTGCCATGGGCTGCAATTTTGTAATCTCTGGAAATGATTCCCGAGGTGCCTTTCTGCCCTGACAGTCTGTGATTCTCATTCTGTTCCAAGAAACTCTTGGAAAATAAAAGAATCCTAACACCTTCTGAAATAAAAGATGAGATGGATCTAAGAGGGTGCAAAGTAAGGCACTTTGAGCCTTCGGGAGCCAGGGCGGCTGAGGGCAGTGCCAGGCAGAGCTCCTGGGTCCGTCCTGCCATAGACGCTGGATACCTCCAGGGTTCATTTATTTATTTATTTTGCTACATGAGGTGCAAATTTGTTTGTTGGCTTGAGAAGGCACACAGCATGCCAAGAACGAGTCCAGGGGGGCAGTAGAGAGAATAAATTCCAGCTCCCTGCTTAAGCAGCACCCACAGAAAGAAGGCCTATTGACGGATTCTGCAGATATTCTGCAGAGCCTTCCATCCAATTCAGCTACTTCCCAGCTCTCTCTCCCAGTCCTGGGTCCCCTTCTGGCAGGAGCTGACTTCTGGACCATTCAAACTGTACGTAGAGGGAAACAGATGGACTGGCAACCTCAGATCTTAAAGGGGTCCAACTTTGTTTCTCCAGCCCTCTGCCCACCATGGACCCTCGGTTGGCTACTCTGAAGACCCATCATGCAAGGCTAGACCAGTTATAACCCCTCTACCATTTGCTGAGCCAGTTACTCCACAGGCAACTCTCTGAGGAATGCTCTGTTGTCTTTCCACTTTCACAGTCGAGAAAACTGAAGTTGAGAGATGCTAAATAACTTGGCCAGAGTTCACAGCCAGAAGCAAAAGAACAAGGTTCTGAGCCCAGGTTGGAAGCCACAATTTCTGGACTCTTGAGCACTGAGCTTGTCCCAGGCTGAGAATGAGGCAGAGGTTTGGGTCTTCTCCACTGGAAACCCTGTTCCCACCTGCACCCACCCACACAGACACACATGTTCTCAGTTGCTGCACTCCTTATCTGGAACTTGATTAGGGAGATGGTGGAGGGCTTGCCAAGAACAGAGAAAAATGTATGGGGGTATCCCTGCCATGGAGGGGGGACAGAGTTGAAGGTTGCCAGGTGAAAATTCAGACAACCTCCTCATCCAGAAAACTGTCACAGGTCTGGGGTATGCAGCCTTTTCCAACAGACAGCATAGCTAAAAGTCAATAGTTAACGGCCCAGGGCTGGACTTGAAGCCAAGGATCTGGCTTAGGGTGAGGCCACCCTTCTTTCGAAGTAATTAGATAAAATAATTTTCAAGGGATTAAAGCAACTTTTTTGTTTGAATGTTATTTATTTGTTTCCCTCTGCTAGGCACAAAATTTCCACACCAAGAGCCTGGGTTTATTGAAGGTCTACCCTGTGCCAGTCCCTTACAGATGTTTCATCTCATTCCTTCTCACAGCAATCCTACAGAAAAATGGCATTGTTATCCCCATTACACTGATAAGGAAACTGACCTTAGAGAGGAGAAGTGACTTTGAAAATGGCGCAACAATCAAACAGCAGACCAGGGGGATTCAAACTCAGGCTGTCTGCCCCCAGAGGACATGACCTCACCTACAACCCCGTTCTGTCTCTCCAAAATAACGAAGCTAATATTAAATGCTTATTATATGCAAACACAGTGTTAAGTTCTTTACTTTCAGTGTGTTATTTAACCTGCCCTGTAACCTTTGAGATAGATGCAACTATTAGCCTTAGTTCACAAACCTGCAAAAAGGGGCTTCAAAGGTTAAAGCGGCTTGCCCAGAGGCACATGTTTGGAAAGTGGCAGAGCACAGAATAGAAAGCAGATAATTTGATTTCAAGCATCCCATTCCTCTGGTCTTGTCTACTTCACTGAATGTGGCACTCCCCAAACCAGGTGAGTCAGAGGAGGGAAGATGGAAAGACAGTTGGATGAAAAGGAAGGAAAAGTAGGGAATGGAAGAGAGGGGAGTAGAGGGGATGGGAGGGGAAGGTACCAGTGGAAAAGGGGCATGGGAGGGGAATATTACAGCTGATAACGGATGAGCCAAAGAAATGTGCAGGGTGATTGAGGAACAATTTCCATATGCCTGTATTCTTCCCATGACCCAGATTAAGACCCTTCAATCCCGAAGACAGTACCCCCATCACAGTGGGGAGAGAAATTCAATGAGGACTATGCTGGGAGGGGAAGAGGGATGAGTGCCTGCCTAGAACCTTTTCTGAATCCCTTTGCATTTTTTAATAAGATTCAAAACCATAAATTATGTAAAGCCAGAGAGCTAAAAGGGCAGACCCTTTCTGGAGTTCATTTCAACTCTGAAGTTCAGAACACTTTTAATGGCATAATTGCAAAAGGCAAAAATCTATTTGAGTGAAAACTTCTCTTTGAACAAAGAATGCATTCGCAGACAGTGGTGCAGTGTTCCTCTCTCTGTCACCAGGGCCTGGGGAGCTGGGGGGAGGAGCAGAAAAAGAAACCATGACTTGAGAGGGGACAAGGATTTTGCCGAGAGCCTTCAGGCTCCTTTTGCTGTCCTAGAAATTAGTCAAGCTGATTTTTCTTTTGGATTGGGAGTCAGCCTGTCCTGAAGACTGGAGACATGATGTTAAAATTAAGACAATCTGCTAATATATTTGCTCTTTTAAAAATAATCTATTTATGTTTTGAAATACATGATATCTGCACATGGTTAAAATATAAAATTAGGAAGTCCTAAAGGGCATATGTTGAAATTCAAATCTTCTTCCCAACCTTGTCCTCAACTTTTCAGTTCTCCTGCCCAAAGACACCTATTCCTTCCAGATTCTTGTGTTCCTTCCCACAAAAATTCTCTGCATAAATAAGCATTCCCATTTATGGACTATTGTGAGTTACTAGAAGTGTAAACCCTAAATCCTGAAGCCTGGGTTTGGCAAGTTTCTGTCTGTCCTTTCGATTGGTGATCAAGTGGGGATAATGTTGGGTATACCTTACAGGGCTGTTGTGAAGATTGAGTTAATAATTGTAAATCTTTAAAATACCAAATGGTACATTCACCCAATATATGTTAGCTGCTGTTACATAAGTTTACCCTTTTCACATATGAATGGTCAAATACTATGATACTGTACTGAGTCTTGCATTTGACACCTAACAGTGTACTTTATAGAGCTCCCTCATAATCCCAGAATCATATTTCACCTTATGAGTGTGCTGTAACTAATTGAACCAGCTTACTGCGAGTGGATATTTAGGCAATTTCCCATCTCTTGCTGTCAAAATGCTATGGCAATGATGATCCTTGCATATGCCTCTCTGGTTACAGGTGCAAGTATATCTGAAGGATGCCATTAGTCAGCCTAGGAGAAACTAGACTGCAGCAATAAATAAGTTCTAATTGCACTGTGGCTTAATACAACAGAAGGTTTAGTTCTCACTTACATTCTAGTCTATCGCAAATCATCTCATGGTCCTTGGCGCTCTCCTCCTTAAATGTTGACTCAGGTATCCCAGATCCCAGCTACTTCTAAACTACAACTCTACATTTTGGAGATTTTTGCTGCCAGCCTTGTGAACTGTGGATAGAGAGAGCATGAGCACACATACCTGCTTATACAGCTCAGGTAGGAAGTAGCACATCACATCTGCTCACAGTCCCACTGCTGAGAACTCAATCTCGTGGTTCCACCCTAACCATTAGTGTGACTGGGGAAACATAATCTTCTAGGGTCTCCAGGAAGAGGAGACAGTGTAGTGAGGGCATAGTGTTCTTTGAGTCAGGATGAAATCTAGCAATTAACTCACTTACTCATTTTGTAGATTCCATACCAATTAAAGAATTCATTTAATATAACTGTGAAACACATAATGACAGAAAGTTCTATGAATTAAATAATGCATTTTAAACAGTACATGCATTCTATCAATTATAATTCTATTTATACTGAAAAATAATATAAATAATATTAAAATGAGCCATGTTACTTATTCTATCAATAATGATTGGTACACATATAAACCCCAAGACTTCTTGAAATAATTCTGCTGTCTCCAGGAGTTAGTGGGTCGAAGATCAGATGTTTGTTTCTGTGTCAAGGTGCTCAAAATTTAGCCATAGTCATTGTTGTGGTACTGCATGAACAGGTGTATTCAAGTCTATTCTAATTCTACAGGGCTGAAACTGCTGAGGAGCTCAGAATTATCTTCCTCTTTGCAGTCACACGCCTCTCCACAATCCATTTTCAGTACAGTGGTCAGTGATCTTTTACAAATGTAGACCAGATCATGTCACTCCCTTCAGGGGCTCCCATTACTCTTAGAATACACTAATCTTAACCATGGCCTCCAATGCCTGGAATAATCTGGCCCCTTCCCACTGGCCCCATTTCCTTCATTTCACAGGAATGCCCCCTTTACTCACTTTGATCAGATTGACTTTTTTTCTTTTTTCTTTTACTTGCCATGACCTTTTCCTTTGACTGTTCTATTTCCCCTGCCCAGAACACTTATCACCCCCTGTCCACATACCAAGCTTAGTGTCACTGCCAGTTGAGACTCAGCTCAGAAGGTGTGCTTCCTTCCCTCCTCAAAGGGGCCTCTCCAAGCTACTCTCTGTCATATCACCCCACCTAGTTCCTTTAGATATTTTTTCCAAAGTAAATATCAAATTTATTTGTTATTTGTAGGTTTACTGTGCTGTTTCTGTCACCAGAATACAAGTTCCACGAGGGCAAGGTTAATGTCGGTATCGTTTACTGCCATATGTGCAGCATCCAGAAACGCACAGACTGTATATAGTCTGTATACTCAGCAGGGCCATGGTGACAAGTCACTTAATCACTTCAGAGGGCAGTATGCATCTTACATTCTGTTAAATGGCTTAGTAAAACCAGGTTTTCCCAGTTAGAGGTTTTTTGTTGCTGTTTTTGTTTGTTTGTTTGTTTGTTTGTTTGTTTTGACTTAAGACTTTACTTCTATTACCCAGCTTACCCTGGGAATAGTAGTAATATGAATTATTTTATCTTTCACTTGAAGTGTTTTGGTGAAAGAAAGTGTGGAGAGGAAAAAGAGAGAGGATGTTGTTCGGAAGTGAAGAGCACGTGATAAAATAAACAGGACTGGAGGAAAAGAAAAGCGTAACACTGAGTGACTTGGAGAGTTTATTTTCTGAACTTGCACAAGGCTAGTAGCAGGTGATGAAAGCAAAACATGAGACTTCTCAGGAAGGGGCCTGAGGAGGACAGGGTGGATACTATATTATCTGCACTGGGGCACCACTTGTTCCTAATACAGCAACTAGAAGCAGTGGAAATAAATGGTTTAACATGTCTGGAATGCTGACATTACCATTAACAGTGAATAACTGTTGTCTTAATTGAGGCTGGGGTTGAAGAGACATGGGGTCAAAATTGAATACGATTTGGACTCCAAGGTCCTCTTAGTTCAGTTGGGGAACAAGAGAAGATGACTTTGGTTATAGCTCAGCAAAAACAATCACAGGTACTTTGGGAGAACAGAGGATGAACATCAATTTAAGCTGGAACGTGGGTAATGGGAGGCTTCCTGGAGGAGACAGTACCTAAACTGAGTCTTGAGGAGTCTGAGTTGGGCAAATAAAGAACATTGACAACATCCCACTAGGGAAGGTGACCTCCAACTCCAGGGAGATGGAACCAGGCCTACATTGCGCTACTAGCATTCCCAGGAGTAGAAGTATCTCCCTGCTTCCAAGCCAAGGTGTCTCTCTAGCGCACCATTTGGAGAGATGACTTGACGTGAACTTTTCTAAGGCTTTCATTCACCTGCTTGGTGAAAATGTTACAAAAACCATCATAAAATCAAGGGTAGAGCTGATCAAGAGACTGCCTGAAGGAAATTCCTAAACTACTACTCATAGTCCCTGCTACCATTTTTGAGGGTTTATTCTGTCTTTGGGCATTGTTCTTAGCCTTCACATGCCATTTATCATTCAGAAAAGGGAAGGAAAACAATCAAGATTTACCTATCACCTTGTCTACTAGGTGTTGTTATAGTTGTTTTATTAACATTAATCTATTCAATATTAATCTGGTTTATTTTATCTTATACTATATCTTAACTATAACAACAAGTAGTAGATGAGGTGTTATTATAGTTGTTTAATTGGCATTAGCCTCTTCCATAGGCATCGAAAACTACAAGTGGGTAAGTAATAGTAACTTCTTAAAAATAGTAACCATTTTATAAGTCAAAAACCTGATAGAGAAAACCCACCTATTGCTGAGGGCCCAAGAGGGTGTAGGCTCTGGGTTAGACCCTTTGCATATATGAGTTCATTTAGCTTTTCAGCTACCATGTAGAGGAAGTTTCATCTTCAATCTCAATTTTTACAGGTCAAAATAGTGAAGTTGTGAAAGCAGGTTGCCTAACCTATATCACCCTATAAAATGCTATACACAGTGCCCACTTTTTTCCACCACACTTCTTTTAGGTTTTAGAGCAGCATATCTCAAAGTTAAATGTGCATTTGAGTCACCTGATGACTTGTTAAAATGTAGATTCCCATTCGGTAAGTCTGCAGTGTAGCCTGAGACACTCTTCTGGGTGAGGCCCAGGCTGTTGGCCCAAGGATCACACTTGGAGCAGTGAGGTTCTAATCTAGATAAATGTCTGTTTGCCAGGTAGGAAGTTCTGCCTTAAGGCTAATGTACTTCCTTAGTGAGGAAAACTAGGGCTTAGAGAGTTTGGATTTCTTATCTGTACTAATTGACCTTTGCCAACGACAAATGCCAGACTGTGAGCTAGAGAGCCATGCCGTGTCCTGCTGTGTCATGAACTAACTCCTATGAATGTTCTCCTCTCAAATCTGCAAGAGGGCCTCTTCCAAAAGGCTGCAGTGGTATGAGATAAGGTTTAATGGAGACAGGAGCTTAATCTGTTGACTCGGATACTGGATGGCAGGAGTTAGGTCTGGAGGTTTATAGGACTCAGATCAGATGTTCTACCTTCAGGAAAGAGAAACACAGTGTGTTTTATTACTTTCTCAGAGATAATTTGGTGGCGATCCCCATACTACATAAACTCTATATTAGTGTCTTTTTGAAATACAACTACAAATAGCAAGAACACTGAAAATATTTCACTATGTTTTTTTTCCAGGAGTTGCAAACATTGGAAAATTTAGTAGGAACACAGAGAAGAAAAGCCAAGTCATATTAAGGTTGTCTGCAAGACTTCTACCTTCAAAGATGTTTAAGCACTTGTTCTATGGTTGTTTGGGAGGGTATAGCATGTAGTTTGTTTGGGAGAGTCTAGCATGGAGTTTCCATACTACAGAGAGGAAACAAAATAGACACACCTGTTTCACGTATCCAAGGAATATTCAAGCAAGATGAACAGTCAAGCATAAGACCCAACAGTATTTGCCCATGCTCTAAACCTCCAGCCACGAGATCATTTTCCATGAGAGGAGGTAGGAAGATCATTCTCGCCTGAGAAATGAAATGGAGATGTGGTAGGAAATGTCATGCCTTGGGTGCATGAGCCTTATTTCAATAATCAATCACCCAAATTGAATCGCTTATTTATACATCTGATTGTCTTTGCATTATTTAGAAGGTATTTAATGACAGCCAGCCTGACAGCATGCATCTAACACATGCCAGATAGATTTAGAAGACTTGGAAACATCTCTTTCTAATTGTTTGGACAGGCATATTGATTGCTATTTCCTCTTTCAGGGTTCTGTAAAGCACTTTATGTCATTTGCATGCTGCACACACATACATACACAGACACACATGTAGAGAATAAGCAATGCCCCATGCAAAGTAGGAACCTGCAGGAGGCATCTCTCTTAAATGGGGAATGGTGTATCTAAAGCCAAGAAGTCAGGTGACAAGGGCCTGATTTCTACGTAGCTGGTAGGCCCAGATCCCATGCAGGAGGTGAAGAGAGCTGAACTCTCCAGGGTGGGTAAAAAGCCTGACATTATTTTGTGTGTTCTCCAGGTCTGGAAAGCATGACAGCCTTTGCAGACAGGCTGTGTTCTGCTGTGTTCTGATTATCTGACACTCTCCCCAGGACACTGAAGGAAATGGCCCAGAGTTAGGGCAGGGGGTGAGATTGGTTCTTGCTTTTTTCATTTCTGCAGAACAGCCCACAGGGCCTGAAGAGACGCTGCCCTTTGGAGTGTATCAATGACTGGGAGGCAGAGCTCAGCAGACTGTGTGACTCAGAAGCTCTGCTCCTCCCTGTCCTCACCTCGCACTGGTGTTTCCATAGAGTGGCTTTATTACACTGCCGGGTTTCCTTGGATATTAAATATAAGAAATGAAAAAGTAACGACATTAATATCCTGGTAGATGATGGCTTTTTGAGCTTATGTCTGTCTCTTGGGGGAAAAAGTAACTTTGATGTGCTGTGTATCTTCTGCTTACGGGGGATTCTTTTTTCTTCTTTCTCCCTATCAAAGTTTATTCTGCAGTCCTCTTTTCTCTCCCAGCCTGCCCTTAAGGGGAATTTGTGTGACAAGAGAGTGCCTTAACTGCAGCACTCCCAGAGGCCGAGGCTTCAGGGAGCTGCCTCTGCATCCAGGATTCCAAGCCCCCAACACAGACTCCACTCCCCCAGAATCCCTGCTTGTTTGTGTTTGGCAGAGGGTGACCTCCTGCTCAGAGCAAGGGAACTTGGAGAGACTCGCAGCTAGCAAATAACTTTTGCAGAATGACATCTTGATGAGTAAATTAATCTAAAAGGCACCGAGTTTCTTCTCTTGATGTTTCCAAGGTAAAGCTCAGGATAGGAGGGTGACAGCCATTTTTCAAGCCAGGAAGTCCTTTGTCAATGGTCACTGACACTTTGATGAATTCACAGGGCTCTTTGGTTTCAGGCCACCCATGGCTAAACCAACATGCAAACCCGACTTGACACACATGCTTCCCACCTTCTCCCCTCAGACACTCCATCTGCTGGTTTCTCTGCCTCTGGCTCAGCATTGGAGTTCCACTCAGGACCATGACCCGAGTGCTGAGCAGAGCAAGGTGAGGAGGCGTGCGGCTGAGTAGGGAGGTAAGCAAGAAGGCAAAGCACCCAACAGTGAGAGTGGGGACTGAATTAGCAAAAGACAGATAGATCCACTTTGCCTTGGGAGTGGATGAAGAGGGATGGAGGAAGTGACATGGGTGTAAGGTTTTGAAGGAGGAATAGGAGCCCTGCAGTGGGAGAGCAGCCTGTGCTGTGAAGGGGTGAGATAGCAGAGCACGAACTCTGATTGACAGGAAAGTCCTTCTGTAGGCTCCACATTTCACCTGGATGAGCCTCGCTGAGGGACTCTTCAAAGGCATCCACATGTCTTTTGCCAGTTGACCCTACACAGGGGATATTGCAGCTCCTCAGAGGAGGAGAGTGGGTGTCCTGGTGGTGCAAGGTCTGGAGTGTACTGGGAAAAGTAGGAGCTATAAAGCATTACCCCTGCAGGACCACTGCCTGAGCCTTTGCTCTATGCGTAAGTTTTCTGTTTAGAGATTATTCTGCTCTTAGATAGAGGAAGAGAATGGGGAGTGGGTGCTAGATGAGAGGTTGAAGGAGGAAATTGAAGATCTACACTCCTCACCATGAACAAAGAACTCGTCTTCCTACAGGCTTCTGCAAACCCAAAGAGGGAACAGTCCCCTCACCTCTAAAGTGGGATTGTTTGTTATCATAGAAACCTCCCCAGGCCCCCAGGAGATGTCAGCTGTTCTCTGAGATCTTTCACAATGTAAAAGGTCTTTAAATATCAGCTCGGCATCCAAGGATCCAAAGCCCCAAGTCCCTCTTGGCCCCACCCGCCTCCCCGCTCCCCTCTCTTCCATCCTCTCTTCCCCTGCCCTGTTTATTTTTAGTGACGATAAACCCAGCTCTTGATCTGGAGAGTTGATCTTTTTGAGTAAATTTAATTAACTACATTTTTAACTCCACTCTCCTCGGCCTTGGCAGGAATGAGCCATTGGTCTTACAGATGACTGGCCTGATGGGAAGGGTAAAAGAAGAGAGTAGAGACGATGCCATAGCCAGCAGCCCCCTCTTTCCTCTCTTTTTTGAAAGACGTCAGCTAATGATACCATTCTGGACCATTGAAGTCACTGAAGACGCAGGATTGGAGACAGAGGAAGGTGGGGAGGGAAGGGAGGAGGAGGTTCTAAGCCTGACATTGGCCATGTGATGAATGAAGTGCCACTTCAGGAACAGGTGTGTGTGTATGTGTGTGAATGTGAGTGTATGCGTGCATGTGCACATGTGTGCACATGCCTCTGTGTCCCTGGCATGGAGCTAACCACTCTGCTGTTACTGCTGTTGTTGGCATCGTCTGTGGCCTCCTGCCAGGGTGATAAATGACAAAGGAGAAAAGCAGTCTGTTTTTTCTGCCTGTATTTTCCCCCTTTGTTTTTATTAAACAATGATTATTAATATTAGAAATGGAACACTGCTACAAAAAGCCATTTTCAGTTAATAAGGCTGTCGCTGCTGCCTGGGGAGTTAATAGAAGGCCAAGGAAGCCATGTGAGGACCATTTAATAGCTGCATTATCAAAGCGGGTCAGAAGTGTGAGATGCAGCCGGCACAGGCAAGGCTGGCCAGTTCCAGTTGGGGTGCACTGGCCAGGTCCCCCACTCCTCACAGGGACCGGGGTCATGCCTGGGTGTGCACAGCTGTTGGGTCACAGGCCAACTGTGTGCAAGGAGCTTGGGGAGCAGCCCTCCCAGCCCACAGCTGTGAAAACATTGGCTGGGCCTCCAGGCAGGCCAGGCAGGTCTGTCCCAGAACAGGGAGGCTACGGCCCCCAGACGAGGCCTCGCCACTTTCCTGCAGATGGTGAGGATCAGGGCGTTTTTTCTCTACCTCACCCTGGGTCGTGACCAGCCTTAGGATGGGAAGCTTGGCAAAAGGAAAATTACTGGGGGCGGGTCTTTGAAATTGTGGAGCTGCTTGATATTTAGAGAAAAAGGAAATTAGGAAGCCAATTCCTGGTATGTTTGCGTCCTGACTTCAGAAGGGTGAGAGCTAGGAGGTGAGATGAGTACCTACCTGCTGTGGGTCCTGGTGAAAGTGATTCCCTCCTGCCATAAAGAAAAGAGGGAGGATGACTGAGCCCTGGGTGTCTGTTTGTCTTCTGGGTTGGTACGGCTGAGAAACAATATCTACCATTCACATAGGAATCCTGATGTCTAAATGAGATGCACTTTTTCCTCTAAAATAAGAACAGCAGTCACCCACCACAAAATGTTAATAATAAGCAGCCACCTTCTTACCAACCTTAAGAATATTGGAAGACACAATGAACAAGAGCAATTGGGTGCAGATGACATATTGCAAAAATGTGTTTGTATGTGATTGGCTGTGGGTGTAATGCATATGTATGTCCATGTATGCATCATCCTAGGGGTCTGAGGGTTTATTTGTTTGTCTTTGCTTGTGTTTAGACAGTGTGTGTCCATGCAGGTCTCCAGGCATGTGCATGAACACATCTGGGTATTGGTGTGAGTGTGCTCCGATGGAGAGGAAGGAACATCATCATCACCCCTTTTCCCAGTTCATTCCCCCACTCCCTTGGATGAAAATGCAGCCTGAAACCTTCTGTGGTGGAATCTGTGGGGTGTACTGCATAGCTTAAGAGCTATGCAGGGTGAGGGGGAGAAAAGGGAATCAGATCTGAGGAATGCGAATGAAATAATCATCATCCTGACAAAAATAGCACTTTGAAAGCGCCAGGGAAAGCAAGGTCCAGGATGTTTTTTTCTCTCATTTGAGCCTGGTTTACCCATCCTGGGGCATACAGTTGGTTCACCTTCGCCCCTAAACAGGAATAAGCTCTGCCTGCCCCATGTATCATTAGGAATCCATTAAACACCTATTACTTGCAAATGCTTCAGACATCCCAAGGAAGTGGTTGAGTGTCAAAGATCCTGCCCTTTGAAATGTGGCAGCACTTTGTAGTGTCCATACATATCTATTGAATGACAGGATGAAGAGACTGCATGAACAGACTACTAAGTACATCCTGCCTTCTTTGTCTTTCTGCCCAGTGAGGCAGCACATGCTATTTAACATGCAGAGTTCAGAAACCATCCCTACCATTCTCTAGATCCGAGCCTTTGCACATGGCCATCTGGCCAATCCCCTGTGACACTGTCCATCTGTGAAATGGCAACAGTCATAGAGAATACGGTATTTTAGAAGATGCTTTGAAATATTACATGTTAAAAAAACAAAGGGGATGTGGTTAACTTGGGTTTTCTTTCTTGTTCTGTCACTAGAAAATGAAACCAAGGGCAAATTTTTTTTAATATACTTTAAGTTCTGGGGTACATATGCAGAAAGTGCAGGTTTGTTACGTAGGTATACAGACGCCATGGTGGTTTGCTGCACCCATCAACCTGTCATCTACATTAGGTATTTCTCCTAATGCTATCCTCCCCAGTCCCCCAAACCCCGAAAGGCCCAGGTGTGTGATGTTCCCCTCCGTCTGTCTATGTGTTCTCATTTTTCAACTCCCGCTTATGAGTGAGAACATAGGGTGTTTGGTTTTCTGTTCTTTTGTTAGTTTGCTGAGAATGATGTTTCCAGCTTCATCCATGTCCCTGAAAAGGACATGAACTTATCCTTTGTTATGGCTGCATAGTATTCCACAGCATATATGTGCCACATTTTCTTTATCTGGTCTAAAATTTATGGGCATTTGGGTTGGTTCCAAGTCTTTGCTATTGTGAACAGTGCCACAATAAATATATGTGTGCATGTGTAATGATAGTAGAATGATTTATAATCCTTTGGGATTGCTGGGTCAAATTCCAAGGGCAACTTTTTTTTTTTTTTTTTTGAGACGGAGTCTCGCTCTGTCACCCAGGCCGGACTGCGGACTGCAGTGGCGCAATCTCGGCTCACTGCAAGCTCCGCTTCCCAAGGGCAACTTTTAAAGATAGAGCAAGTTTGTATGGTGGTTCCAAAAATGGGCTCAAGGATCTGAGATTCAAATCTGCCACTGTTAAGCTCTGTGACCTTCGGAAAGTGACTATATCACTCTGTAGCTCAGTCCCTTCATTCATAAAATAGAAATTTCTGATAGCTTGTTATGAGAGTCTCACAAAATAATGCATATTAACAGAGCCTGGCACATATTGAATTCTTGATAAAGAATAGCTATTGTTGTGACTATGTCTGGTAAAGGTGGAAGGTTTCTGGAAAGGAATAACCAAGGTTTCCCTTGAACCTCTTAAGCAAGTGGAATAAGAGTGGATAGAGTTGTTTTCCTACAGAGAATCTATGCCCTTCGTAATGAGCAGAAATAGATCACTCTGCTCTGATGAGAAAGGGTCTGCTATACTCTGTAGTTCAGACTCAGGAGAAAGACTGACCCTGCCAATGTCAGGATGAATGGCTGTAGATCTTCTTTGTGTTATCTCAGCTGTGGAGCCCCCAACACTCTCAGAACCCACTCATGCCAGCATTTGCTGAGAGACACTTAGAATGAGAAAGCTTTGAGTAGGATCTTCTGGAGGGAAAAGGCAGGTGACCACTGACCTTCAGAATTCAAAGATCTTTTCAAATGACCTGTGCTAGAGGCACAATTTGGATACTTGAAAGGGAGTCCTTAGCCACATTAAGTACCATTTGGAAAAGGGCAGCCTGAGGTTTTAAGTGCCGGTGCCAGTAGCTGACTAGCTTAATATCTGCGGTGGCTCATCCACCAATCAAAATGTGTTACCGTGGGCCAAGAAAAAATGAGAAGCATTGTCCGCACTTGTCCAGATAGCTCATTTGACTCACATGTTTTACTTTCCTTCCTGAATTGACATTCTTTGTTCCATGCACAAGTCTTGGACTTCCCAGAAAGACGTTGACCATGTATTGCCTATTGGTAATGTAATTTGGAGAAGGCATGAAAAGGCTTGATGCCAGATAGGTGCTAAATAAAAAAGACTGGGAAACAGAACCAGATTCTCCTCATCTAGGGCGGGCAAACTGTATGCTCAAGTCGCCCAGGTAGAGCATTGTGCCCTGGAAGCCAGCCAAAGTCTATGGGCAAGCTCAACAAGTTATCTTATAAGGAAGAAAAAAACATCGAGATCTCAAGAAATAATGGTTTTCAGCATAAGCATATAAATTTCTTGAACAATCAGAAGAGAAAGCCATGTTCTCCAGTTTTGTAATACCTGTTTCCAGTTAGCATCCAGGGCTTGGGAAGTAAGTCATTGTGGATACTTGGATTAAGAGACCACGAATGACAGGAATATGACAGGAATTAGAAAATTCTCTTAGGGTTTAGGTCTAAATTCCTAGACCATGAATGACAGCTCCGTAGGCTAATTGCTACAATCCTCAATACAGTGGTGGAATATGAGACAGAGTATCTGCACTACCTCAGAGTTGGGCAGGGTTGATCTTGGAGGTGAGTGTCCTCTTTATACACACCTATGACCTGGCTAGGGCTGGCAATCGTCTTCACTCAGGGCCTATCATAACTTCCGTAACCAGAAAAGTCACAGTGACTGAATGTGATCAGTTACCTCTGCTTCTGAAACATGATGGGGACCTTGTCCTCCCAGCCCTAGCCCCAGTCCAAAAAGGCAAGGCTGGACATTGTCCAGTCTCAAGAAGAAGAGAGCACTTGGAGGAATTTCCACACTCACTCTGGTTCAAAGCTCATCTGAGCATGGTCTCTGGTTTCAGAAAGCAAACAGTCTCGGGAAATGATTCTTAAATATATTCAACTGCAAAGCACCTGGAAAGTGCTTTCTGGAACATTTTTAAACACTAATGTATTAAACTTGTAATAACCAAATAGATATTTTTGTGGTAAATTAAATTATAACCTTTTCATACCAGCTACTAGTTTAAACAGATGATAAAGGTAGATATCAAAGCTTTAAGATAAAATGTAGGTACTTAAAATTTAAAAAATGATTTTTCCCAATCAACGCCTTTTTTCTCTCCTAATTGGAAAGCATGCATGATCACTTGGTTTCAGTTGTGGAACTCCTCAGCTTGGCTCCCAGCATGACAACTCACATAGCTGTGGTTTGAGACTACTACCCTAAGATAACTCACATAAATGGCAAGAACTCGATCATTGTCAAGGGCAGGATCAGGGGAAAGCAGAGAGTGAAGAAGACAAGAGCCCTCTGGTCTGTCAGGGAAGCATCTGAAGCCAGAACTCAGAGGGCATCTTCTTGGAGACACTGCAGGAGTCATTCTTCTCCAGTAAGGCTAGAAAAATGGGCCAAAAAAAATCTGTTCTAAGAAATGGGGATTTACAATTATAAATGATAGATCACAGGAAGAAAGTGATAGAAGGGGCCATCAGTGATTCAGGCAAGAGGTGGGAAACTAGTTTCAACTTGTGCCAGGTCTATTGATTGGTAGTGGCTTCCTGGTGTTCTGGGATGTGAAAGATGCTAAGACCATTTGGGGCACAGCAGAAAAGCAAGTAGTGACCCACGACATCTACTCAGGCAAACCTTGATCTAACTTCAGCACCCCATGGAGGAAGTGAACTCCAGAAAGAAATCAGACCATTTAGATGTAGGGCAGCACTACAACTCTGGCTTTTTGAATCCTGATTTACATATTAGAATCCAATTCAAATCAATGCATATCATGTTACTAAGTGTCCTGCTATATGCTAGGCTCTGGGCATACAAAAATCTCATCATATCTAAGTCACTTATATCCTGGGTTAACCATTTTTCTATGGTTAGAATAAGTTCTTCAACTGTTTTTCCATTTCTGGTTATCATTTTAAACCTGGGCAACTAGAAGAAGATATAAGAAAATTCCAACCGTCTTGCCTATGTGTTGCAATCTCTGTCAGGAATCTCGTGTGACCCAGGCTGCTTTCAGAAGATTTCAGTGTTATTCCCTTTATATTGCAGCCTAGAGTTACCACACTCTATGCAACACACTTAACCCCCCAAAATCACATGGGATCCTCATTTATAAACAGAGTTTGCTATCAAATATCTGATGGACATCAAAAGAGTCAAAATACCATTGAATGAATTAGTGGAACATTTTCTGGACCTATAGAGAGATGTTTGGATTTTGATAAACAAGAACATCTGCATTCTCTACCTGACCGCAGACGGTGTGGGGCTGTGCCTAACATCACCCCCAGCTCTGCCACAGAATTCTAGAAATGGCATCATCAAATCTCACAGTGGACCTGAGAAGGCTTAGCTGATTATTTCTCAGCTGACAACGCTGTTTTCCTTCCCTATTTACCCTGGAAAGAGCATGCCTTATTCACAAAGTGGATTATTAATGACAAATATGAATATGGAAATTCTTAACATAAATGAATATGTTATAAAGTCCAAAGGGAGCAGAGGCAAACAAGTGACTTTGGAGAGACTTGAGTCTGAGAAAATGCAGAAGAAAGAATGCCTGTGTGGAATGGGCTTGGATTGGAATAGAAAACTTATCTTGAAGGCCATTAGAGTTCCTGAAAGCCCTATCGGTCTCTTTGAGGCCAGATTGAATGAAGATTAAGCCTTTTTATCTGTAATAGCTTTTCAGTATGTCATGAGTGCAGCTGAGGAGGCTTGCACAGAGCACTGCCTCTGGGAACCGCACTGAGGGTGAGTCAAAGAGGCAGGATCATCCTTAAAGGCAGACAGCTCTCCCAGATCCAACATCGGAACTCTCTCAAACTCATGCATCAGCATCATCAAACCCTGAGTTTGATGCTTGAGCTGCATTAAGGGGCTGGAATAAGCTAGGGCAGAGCCATACTGTGGAATACTACACAGCCATTCAAAATGGATTTTTCAAAAATGTTTCAAGATAGCAAAAATTCTTATGGCATACTGTACTGTTAAATGAAAAAAAATGGAATTACACAAATCAATATGTGCTATGAGATTCTGTAGAAAGAAAGTGTGTGTATTGGCTAAAAAAAAGTCTATTGCAGTAGAATTTCATGCATTCTGTTCAAATTTTCTATATTTTTCCAAATTTCAAGTAAACATGTAAATTTTATAACTGAAAGAAATTTAAACAGATTGTTTTCTACCCTACCCTTGACTCAAACAATCAGAGATCTGAAGTGTTAAGATTCCCATTTACAGATTCCATAAGTTTTTTAAATTTCCAGTTAGAGATCCTAGATGCTACATTCTAGCATTTAATTTAATGATTCAAAAGTTCATTCTTTGGCCTAATTAAACTCACTGTTGCTACAATTTAAATTATGCATTATTCTATCTATGTTTAGGTGAAATACAAGCCTTTCAGGAATCCCTAAATCTGTCCTAAGTCTTTTCTTCTTCAAACTCAGTAAACTCTTTTTGGTTTCCATTTATAAGGGGTCTTATTTTCCATATCAAATTATTTCTGTTGTTCTTCCTGAATCGCTTTTCTTCGCTGTTTTTTTTTTTTTCTCTATTTTCATTTACAGAAAACTGAGGCCAGACTTGAAGGCAGGTTCTTAAAAAGGAGTTTATTTGCAAACACACACACATGCACACCTGCAAAAACCTGCACACTTTCCATTTATGTACAGATAAATCTTTAGGCAGTTTTCTCAACAGGAAGTTCACAGACCTTAGCAATGTTTCTTTATCTACTTAGCATCTACTAATTTCCATTATTATAATACTTACTCTCCTGCAAATTCTCTATATGCAAAATTCTAGTACACGTGATTTTAATTCTATGTACTTTTTACACATTAATGAGAATTGCAGTTTGAGTACATAAAAGTCACAAGTCATTCTGAGTTATCAAATTGAAATGCACTGGAATATATATAGAAAAATCACATCTAATAATATGGGAAGATGTCACAATATATTGTTAAGTTAGGTTAAATAAAAGACTACCAAACAATATATAAAAAAACAAGTTTTGGTAAAACTGTGAATACGCCTACAAGGGAAAAAACAGAAGGGCATGAATCAAAATGAATAACATTAGGTATCTCTGAATGGTGGCAATATAAACCGGTTCCTTATTTTTCCATGTTTGTAGTTTCTATTGATTTCCATGGAATATATATTTTAATATCCACAAGAATAAAGTAAATTTCAAGCAAAAAAAATATTTTGAAAATTTGTGTATAGGTCAAGCACATGAAAAAATATCCCTTACCCTGCATAATATCTAAAAATGGTTTTAAAAAAAGATAGGCACCTCATTACATCTGCAAAGAATGGGGGTGCTATGCTATGATCCGAATGTCTGTGCCTCCCCAAAATTCGTATGTTGAAACCTAATGGCATATGGGATAGTATTAGGAGGTGGGCCTTTGGGAGAGGCGATTGGGTCATGAGGGTGGAACCCTTTTGAGTGGGGTTAATGGTCTTATAAAAGAGCCTCCAGAGAGCTGTCTTGCCACTTCCACCATGTGAGGACACAGCAAGAAGTCACAATCTATAAATCAAAAATCAGGCTCCTACCAGAAACTGAATTTGCCAGCACTTTGATCTTGGACTGCCCAGCCTCCAAACTGTTTCTGTTACAAGTACATTTCTGTTGTTTTTAAGCCAACCGGCTTATGAAATTTCATTTTAGCAGACTGAATGGACTAAGACACGAGACCTTGAAGAGTTTCTGAACAACAAAAGAGAATAAAAGAAAATTGCCTGTTTTCTATTACCTGTTAATAGTATAAACTGTACTGATTATCTGTTTACTTAGTGCATTGACTTTATTGCTTTGTTTTCATGGAATGCAAAAGTATTTGTGTCCTATTAATAGTTCACTCAGGATTATTTCCTTGAAGAGGCTTTAAAGTCCTTAAACACGAATCATCTTACCACAAATTCTCCTTATATATACAAGATTTTGACGTGAATATGGCATTCATGACCAAGTAAACTGTACTATTAAAATTCTAATTCTTTTTGCATTTGTTCTTATTGTCAACAAATTTTAAGTAAAATAAAATTAGATTTACATCCCATATCAACATTAGTTTTAAATAAATTTAAGATTTAATTGTAGTAAAACTATAATAATTCTAGGAAAAATGCATAGGTTATTATTTATATAATATTGAAAATAGGTTGTCAAAAGCTAAAGCCAAAAATGAAATGAGGCTGAGCATGGTGGCTCACGCCTGTAATCCCAGCACTCTGGGAGGCCGAGACAAGTGGACCACCTGAGGTCAGGAGTTTGAGACCAGCCTGGCCAACATAGCGAAACCCCATCTCTACTAAAACTACCAAAAAAAAAAAAAATTACCCAGGCATGCTGGTGGTTGCTTGTAATCCCAGCTACTTGAGAGGCTGAGGCAGGAGAATGGCTTGAACCCAGGAGGCGGAGGTTGCAGTGAGCCAAGATTACGCCACTGCACTCCAACCTGGATAAAAGATAGATCAAGACTCTGTCAAAAAAAAAAAAAAAGAATATTTGCCGGTAATATACATAACTGACCAAATCAGTATGAAGTGCTCTTCCAAATTAATACACACAAAAAAATTTGGGGGGAGCAAGTCTAAAGTAAGAGCATTTCAGTAGATGATCCAAATGTAGAGCCACTTTCCCAAGTGGCCTGTGCTGTGTGAATCCTCAAACTCCTATAGAAACCAGAAGATAAGAGTAACCTCAAGGAAAATGAGTAGAACTATATTTCTTTTCAAACTTGGAATATGGAGAAAGAACCTGTTAGATTTCGTTTTTAAAAGGAATGAGATGTGACATTTCTTACACCTAAATGTCTTTCAACAGTACGTATATTTCCTTGCCTACATTTTCTGAAAAGCAAAGATTGCACCTTAAGGAAAAATGCTATTTTATGCTCTAAGGGAATCTTGCTAAAGCATAGTGCACGTTTTGAAAAATAAACAAAAACAAAATAAAACTAAAGTGGGGAGAGGTTTTAGTGAGATTAAAAGATATATGAAGTGCTTGGGGTGGCTCCAGAATGTCTCACTATGGGGCCTGCACTTGCTCTTCCCTGGTGTGGAACACACTCCTTCCATATCTGCCATGGACTTGCTCCCTCATCTTATTCAAATTTCAGCCTAATCATCACCTCACCAGAGAGGCCTTCCTTGATCCCTTATCTAAGTAGCCATACGTTCTTTCTCATCATTCTCTGAGCTATGTCCTATTTCATCTGTGGCTGAAGTTATAGTAAGCATTTCTTCATTTAACTATTTATTTTCTGTCCTCTACGCTAGTTTCCCCAACCCCACAAGGTCAGGAACTTTGTTTTATCATTATTTATCCTCAGGGCCCAGAGGGGGTTCCTGGTATAGAGTAAGCGCCCAATAAAACATTTGTTGATGGAATATACAGTAAGTATTAAGTGGTGCTCATTATAGCTAGAGGAAGAGCAATCCATCCTTTTACTCGTGGTTCAGATCTTCAGTGTGGACCTTGTGCACCTTAGAGTAGAGGTGAAGAAGTGGAGCTGGGGAGTCATCCAGACAGAGGTATTTGCCACCAACTTCTAAACTTGTGAAAAAAAAATGAATCTACTGAAAGGTTGCAGGAATAGTGCAGAAAACACTTATATACCTTTCAACTAAATTTATCAATTATTAAAATTTCTTTTCTCTCTCTCTGTCACCACACAAATATACATATAGATAGATAGACACATACAGACATACATATATACATGCATATACATACGGATGTGTACACACACATACACACACACACTTTTTAACTAAACTATTGGAGAGGCAGTTATGGGCATCATCACATTCAACTCCTAAATACTTCAGCAGGCTATCTTTAAAGACCAAGGACATTCCCTTATAAAACCACAATACAGCTATTGTACTCAAGGAAATCTAACACTAACACAATACAATTGTCTAAAAAATTATTAGTACTCAAATCTCCCCAACTGCCCTAATACTGTCCTTTGTAGATGATGTATTTTAACACAGATGCAGTACAAAATCCACATCCCAACCAGCTAATGTGTATCTTCAGTTTTTTAATTCCCCATCTTTGTTTGCCTTTCATGACATTGATGCTGTTGAGTACGGTCCAGTCATTTTGCTTAACGCCACTCAGTGAGGACTGGTTTGATTGTCTCCGCATACTTAGATTTCAGTTATGTATTTTTGGCCAGAATGAGAGAGAAATGACAGTGTGGTGTCTTCCATGTACCACATTACGGGGTAACACAGATGCAATTTTGACTCCTGGCTTGTATTTACCATGTGACCTCAGGTAATTTGCATTACATCTCTGAACCTTGATCCCCAAATGTATAAAATGAAGATACAAATACTAACTTTCTGATGAGATATTTGAATAAGAGAATGTATAAAAAGCTTTTACACTGAGTCTGATTCTGGCTCTGTCATTTATCAGCTGTGTAACCTTGGACAAGTTTCTTAACTTCCCTGAACCTCAATTTCTTGACCTATAAAATGGAATTATAGTAACTAACTCTTAGCAATTCTGTGAAGATTAACAGAGACTACATGTCCAAAGTCCTGGAAAGAGTGGCTGGCATAGAATAAGTATCTAATAAATGTCAACAAGTCTCCTTGTTACTAATAAATGACATGTGAAGTCATAAAATGATGTCATCACAGCTTTTGAAGTCTAAAACTGCTTGTTTCTCCTCCATATCCCTGGGGTGCTTTGTAGAAACATGTGTCTTCCTTTTACAGCTTTTCTCTCTTCTCTGTCAAATTAACAGCATGCACTTTTGTTATGATCATAGGACAACCTAGCCTCACTTTTCAAATTTGTGGCTAATAGCCAGCCCTTGGTAGTGGAATCTAAGTGATTATGTTTGATAAAACTCAGTATAAATAGGTAAAAACCTGATCCTATGTTACTTCCTTCTTGCCTCCTTTTATTTTTCTCATTTAATTTAATGTTAAGCAGCTGAGTAAATACTCATTCAAAATGCAGTGAACTGAAGTACCTGTCATCTAGTTTAAATAGCATAATGCCCCATGGAGTGACCCTATAGGGTCAGTACGATTTAATATCTTTATCACGGGCTTGGTGAAGAATTAAGAACATTTCCATCAGTCTGCCCAGGCACCAAGCAGTGTCTTTCTATCCAAAGCCTGACTTTGCATATGGTCATCAAGAGGAAGTTGGGGGCCCTAGGATCAGTCACAGGAGAAGCCCTAGTCCCTTGTGGGTCCCCTGTACCATGCTCCTCAGCCCAACTCCATTCCTGACCTGTGCCCTGGAAGTTGACTGCAGATCTGATTCTCTGGTTTATCCCTCAGTGGTCCTCTGTGGGCATGATTCTGTACTCAGCCTCTGCAGTTCATCTGCATTTGGTCACCTCATGTTACAGCCTTGCTTCATCCATCCCTCATGGCAGTTCACTGAGCCAGCGAGCAACCTCTCCAGCCTCTCTGGCCTTCCAAGAAGGGTAATTAACCAACAACAAGTTCAAGCCAGCTTCCTCTGGTTGAACTCCATAACAGATGTCAGGCTCAATCCAATATTCAGCCCAACTGTTCCTTGGCACTAGATGAAGATGAAAATCATTTTATTTATCTATTTTAAACCAACCTGCATTATCATATTTAGAGACACCTCTAATGCCAATGAACATCTTAAAGTGTAGATATTGCTAAGCCTTTCACTTCCATTTTCCCCAAAGCCTGCAGATGTGATAATGCAGTATTTAAAGTGACTGTGTCAGGAGTAACTGATTAGAAACTTTCCTAATTAAGAAATGCTCAAGAAAATGTCTTTTTCTATGTCGCATGTAGCTCTTCACTTCTGTAACTTGAACAAAGCTGAACTCCTTCACAAAAGCAAAAGTTAAAAACAAACAAACAAAAGTTTTCCTAGGAGAGTATAATCGGTTGCCCTCCCTGCTGCGGGCAGACATTTTATTTGATTTTCCTATCTGGCCTTTCTAATGCATGAATTTTGTCTCCCTCATGCTACAAAAATAATACAAAATTTTCTGGCTCATTCTTCCTTATGGGCTAGAACCAACAGTTCAGAAGCCAACAAGTGAAAAGCAAAGAACAATGCTAAAAACAACATCAATCAGATAAGGGGGCTATAGAAGAATAACAAAACATAGCAAAACATGGTGGGTTTCAATCAGGATAACTAACTCTAGGAAGGAAATACCACGTGCATATAATAGGCAACTGGGGGCCAGGCGTGGTGGCTCATGCCTGTAATTTCAGCACTTTGGGAGGCTGAGGTGCGTGGATCACCTGAGGTCAGGAGTTTGAGACCAGCCTGGCCAACATGGTGAAACCCCATCTCTACTAAAAAATACAAAAATTAGCTAGGCGTGGTGGTTGGCACCTGTAATCCCAGCTCTTGGGAGGCCGAGGCAAGAGAATCACTTGAACCTGGGAGGTGGAGGTTGCAGTGAGCCAAGATCACACCACGGCACTCTAGCCTGGGTGACAAGAGCGAGGCTCCATCTCAAATAATAGTAAAAATAATAATAGGCAACTGGAATATCCTTCTGAATTATAAAAGCTCAAATTCAATTTCAGTCTGCCTTGTATGTGCCAATTGGCTAAATGATGAAAGATAGATAAGAAAGACTCTGTTTTTGCACCCTGGTTAGGACGGGAGACAAATATGTTCATGTCATAGAAAACTGTATTGTCATATACTAATCATTGCTTCCTTTAGCATTGGGGGCCTGGAAAACTATTGAGCAGGACATTGAAGGGTGAGTAGGAGTTTGCAGCATGAATGTGAGCAGGAAAGACAAGGAATAGCACGAGGCACAGTGTGGCCTATTCATAGACGAAATGGCGGGAGATGAGAGCAGAGTGAAGACGGCAGACAACCTAGAGGAAAGCATGCACCATGCAACTGGGATTTGAGTCATACGTCCTACATCCAGCCGTGCCAAACTACTTCCAATCCCCTTACTGTATCTGCCTTTTTCATGCTTTTGTGTTTCTGCGCATGTCTTCTGCCTGAAATGAACTCGGACTGTTCATCTTGGCAATATTTAAACCTTCTTCCAACACTTATTTCTAGCCTTTCCTACTAGGTGAGGGCTTCATCAGAGCCCCCACCCTCCACTACTGTATGGTAGTATAAAAGAGATTCAGATATACAGCTCAGGAGTAATTAATAAAACTATGACAAGCTAAAGGATAGCCAGATTTGAAATCTAATTATATCCCACCAACCACTGGAGAATCAATTTAAAAGCTCTTATAATTTATTCGAGATCAGTAAATGGCTACATGCAATGTAAAAGAATGTGAAAATGTGAAAAAAAATCAGATTTCCTGTATGCCACTTTAAAAGACAAAGTGGAAGTAAAATTAATTTTACAGAAATAAGCAGAAAATATCAACTACCTACAAAAAAAAAAAAAAAAACTAAAACTATATGCAAGGACTCTCTGTAAGGTAAACTACAAAATTGAAGATAAAAATATTTGAGTAAATTATGTTTCCAGATGGGAAGACTAAATTTTTCCAGCAAGTTAGCATTTTATAAAAGTAAAGCATAAGAATAATACAATCTAGATAAAAATTCCATTTAAATATTTTGAATATTAGCCAAAATATTCTAAAGTTCTTCAGGAAATAAACGTTGAAGCAATATAGCTATATTTGGGACGAAAGGTTAATGAAGTATTCACTTACCTTTACAGAGACTAAGTTATCTTATAAAGCTGTGATCATTTAATAAGCATAACATTGGCCAAATAACCAAAAGGCAGCCTAGTGAAACTGAATGGATAGTCCACAAATAAGCAATAAATTACTAATTGTTACAGGGGGCACCACAAGGCAATGTGGAAGAGTTCTCTTTGTGTACAAAAGATGTTGCAAAAATATTAAACCATTTGTAAGACAAATGAAAACATTAGTATACATGCACATTAAAACAAATTCCAATTAAAGAATTAAATGTAAAACCAATTAGAAGAAAATACAGATAAATATTTTAAACCTCTCTGAGTGTGGAAAGTGTTTTCTTAAAAAAAAAAGCAATAGAGGAAACTGCAGTAGAAACACTAATAAAAGTAACTTTATAAAAATGCAAATTTGCATACACCAAAAATAATAATAGATCAAATAAAAACATATGTGAACAACTAGAGAGAAATATTTGCAACAAATTGAATAAGAAAAAGGCTAATGACATTACTATATAAATAACTCATGAAAACCAATAAGAAAATATTAAAGATAAAAAGGAAAGTTAAAAAAATGATAAACAGTTCCTTTGCTGGTGACATTGTCATCATCTACTATATAAAAGACTGTGATAGGCAAGAATAGGAGAATGGATTTTGGCTAGAAAACTTGCAGGTTTGCCTCAGAAGTCATTAAATAATACAGAAAAATGAAGAATCTAAAAAGCAATGCATAAACGTTATTTTTAAATATGGAGGCAGAAACAACCATAGTGTGAAAGGTTTTGTCTTCCGAGAAAGAAACAACAGAAAAAGGAAAGAATCAGAGGGCTGATACTTTCTTTTTGTTATAACTCTTTGAGCACCTGAGCTTTTTGTACTATAGGCATGTACCCAAATTATTTATCTATTTATATATTTATTTATTTATTTATTTTTGAGATGGAGTCTCGCTCTGTTGCCCAGGCTGGAGCACAGTGGTGTCATCTCGGCTCACTGCAACCTCCGCCTCCCAGGTTCAAGCAATTCTCCCATCTCAGCCTCCAGAGTAGCTGGGATTATAGGCGCACACCAGCATGCCAAGCTAATTTTTGTATTTTCAGTAGAGATGGGGTTTCACCACGTTGCCCAGGCTGGTCTTGAACTCCTGGACTCAAGTGATCCACCCACCTCGGCCCCCAAAGTGCTGGGATTACAGGCATGAGCCACCGTGCCCAGCCCTCATTTTATATTATAGGCATGATCAATGAGATCATGGCAAATGCAAAGTTGCTCAATTAGCAACCCAGTTAAAAGGCAAATTAAAAGCGTGAGATATCACTTTCACTCATTAGTTTATAAACTATTAAAATAATATGAATAGCAAACATTGGCTCAGGTGTACGGAAACAGGTTCTTAAATACTGCTGATGAGAGTGTAAACTGGTACATTTTTAGAGATAAGCTTGGCAGTTTCTATTAAAATTTAAAATATGCATATCCTTCAACCCAGAAATTTCACTTCTAGGTACCTACCCTGGAAAACTACTTGTCACAGATGCAAAATGACACATTCAAGGATTTTCATTGTATAATTATACTAGGAAATAGTTTAAAGCATCGTAAGTGTCCATCAATAAGAAAATGACTTGGTACACTATGGTACATTTATACCATGGAACTCAATATAGTGTTTCTCAAAGAGGACATGTTTTATCATGGAACAATTTCTTACAATTATATCATTAAGTGAAAAAAGTAAGTTGTAGAATAGGTACAGGTGAAAAAAACACACATACACACACAACAGGTTTAATATTTATAAGCCTGTTAAAAAATTTGGATGGGTCTGGCACAAAGGCTCAAGTCTGTAGTCCCAGCGCTTTGGGAGACCAAGGCTGGCAGATCAGTTGAGCCCAGGAGTTCAAGACTAGCCCGAGCAACATAGCCAAACCCAGTCTCCACAAAAAATGCAAAAAATAAAAAAAAATAAAAAATTAGCTAGGCATGGTTGCACGTACCTGTAGTACCAGCTACTTGAGAGGCTGAGGTGGGAGGATCACTTGAATCTGGGAGGTCAAGGCTGCAGTGAGCTGTGTTCACACCACTGCACTGCAGCCTGGGTGACTGAGTATGACCCTGTGTCAAGAAAACAAAAAAAAGAAAAAAAAGTTTGGGTGGATAGTCTTTCAATTGATCATGATGGTTACCTTTATTGAAAGGAATCTGATTGGAGAAGAAAGAGGAGGAATAGAAATAAGGCACATTAGAGGCTCCATCTATTAGTACAACTTTATTCTTAAAATATTTTTATTTATGAAAATATTGCAAACTTAAGAGTAACATCAGAGAGACTGTCTCCTAAAAATTAAAATGCCCCTAGTACTGAATCATCTGTGGACCAAAGAGCCACAGATGGAGTGCGACTTGTCTGTGCTTCTTCTGATTCTGGGAAATCTTTTATGATCTGGAAAGAGCAAGTTTGTTTAAAGGAGGTCACCAGCGTTATTCACTCAAACAATCTATCCTAGTAATACAAACAATCTATGTTTTACTTTACCTATTTTTGAAATGCATGTTTTAATTGGGTGATTAGCCAGTTTTGTTAAGCATGTTATTACAGACATAAAATATTTTATGAAAGGACTACTTGAAAAAATATACAAATGTAAACAAAACCAAACAGAAAAAAACAATCCAAATCTAACTGTGCAATTATTTTAAGAACAAGATGCATTCAGCCAAATGCAAGCACAGCTAACCCTTTATTTAGCTGGATTCTACCTCTCTCTTTTTCCAGACCTGTTGGTATTCGACTTTAGAAATTGAGACTGTTATAGCTGGACAAGTTGCACTGTTGACATGTTCATTGGGTCCTGATTCCCAGCCTGTGTTTCAGGCATGCAAGTCTGCTTTTATGTCAACAGGGTTTTGTCAATTTGCTACAATGCAATTTGTTAAGTTCAGAGCACACTTAACATCAGACACAGCAGATGTCCTAAATACTCACACAATACAGAAGACAGACATTGTTAGGGCAGAAAGCAGTCACTTTAGCCAGGGGTAGGTAGACAAAATGAAACATCTCTTTCCATATAGCACAAGGCCCCCAGTCAGAAGGAAACGCATAGCATTATCCATGCAAAGTGCAGGGGTAGGGTAAATTTCATGAGGTCAGAATATAATTATGTGGTCAGGAATTTCCCTTCTCCAAGCCCTGGGGGAATAAAACACCCCACTCATATTATGTCATAACCACATATTTGAAATATCTTGGACACGATCCAGGAGCCAGTTTGGGATTTTCTTTATTCTTTCTTTCTGAGCTGGGAAGGCAATTACATGAGATGAACTTAATGTGTGTAGAATTCTAGAGCACGGTATCTGCAGTGTTTGCACATCGAACTGGAGTTACTTTTTGCTACCTATGCAGAGTTTGCAGATGAGAGAAAAGTCATGGCTTCCTTTTTTTTAATAAAATGTTCATCCATTTTTGTAAGTTGCCCCCAAAACATCACAAGAGGAAAAAAATAACTACCTCCTCATTTGTATTGTCCTTGGCAACAAGTTCAACTGCTCAAAATTAATTTTGCCAATCATTGCACCTTGTAAAGGGCTTCTCTGTAAGTCAAGAGATATAACTTCCAGCATACAGCAAAGAAAACTCCTAAGTGAGCAATAAAGATAACTCTTGGGTACCTTCCTGATAATAACAGAGCCCAGCTTCACTGCTGGTTCTGTTCATTCTATGAGAGTTTCTTACACCCTTGTTTTTGATCCTGTCAATTAAAATAAAAAGACTTTTTTTTCTTTTTATTCCCATAACTCCATTAAAAAATCTACAGAACATGAGAGCAGGAAGTAACGTTCATGCAACATTTTTTAATGTGTGTTTGTGTTTTATCTAATTTAATCATTACAGCAAATGCTGTGACATAATTTGTGGCAGAAAGGGAAACTAAGTCTCAGGATCAGACATCTGCAAAAGGCAGAAACCAGATACAAAACCCGGATCTTGGGGACCCAGTTGGAATCCCATTTACCAGGGTCGGGTCTCCAACGCCCTAGTCGTTTCAAGCTAGTGAGAGTGCCCGTCAGGTGTGAATCCAGGATAGCAGGGACAGGGAGGAGCTGCCACCGATATGAGAGGCAGAGATCCCGGAAATGGTGCTTCCCTTCTTCCAGCAGCCCAGGAAGATGACAAGCTGAAAGTCCTCAGTAGAGATGCACTTTGCCTGCCCCCTGGTTGTGACACCTATACTTCCCACTTCCAGCAATTTTTTTTTAAATGGAGTCTGGCTCTGTCACCCAGGCTGGAGTGCAGTGACGGGATCTCGGCTCACCACAACCTCCGCCTCCCGGGTTCCAGTGATTCTCCTGCCTCAGCCTCTTGAGTAGCTGGGATTACAGGTGTGCACCACTGCACCAAGCTTTTTTTTTTTTTTTTTTTAAATAGAGACAGGGTTCCACTTGAACTCCTGACCTCAGGTGATTCTCCCGCCTCAGCCTCCCAAAGTGCTGGGATTATACCCACTTCCAGCAATTCTTTATAACAACAAGCCCAGTACTTCTCACTCAACTTTCAAAGCTAGTTCAAAGCCAGTTTCAAAGATATCCATCCAGTTTTTTCTCATCCCACTAGTTGGGATTCAGCTCTTTCTGAACTCTCTCATTACTCTTTGTCTATGTCACTATTGTGTCACCCGACCACCGAGGATCATAGTTAGCTGTGACTGTATCTATATCTCTCCCCCTTGCCAACAAATGTTAAGCATCTTACAGGGAGGACCTGGTTTTTCTCAACAAGTATGTTTCACTTAAGTAAACACAATGATCTGCTCGTGTAGTGCCCTTAATAAACGTTGATGCTTCCTACATAAAACTGCATTCTGCAAACTTTCTATTTGAGAAAGGAACTGGAGTCCAAGGGGCACCTCCCACCAAAACAACAGGTGCATTGGTAGCACCTGCCACTGCTGCTGCTGCTGGTGCCTTAGTGGAAGGAAACTTAAATAATGGCAATTTTATATGTTTATAATATTTATAAAATATATAGTAAGCTACGTATGTAGTCCGAGAAAAATGTCGCATATCATATATCATTTAATCCTCACAACTCCCTTATAACATAGGTGTGAATGCTGTATCATGTTGCTGTGTAGATGGAAAAACCAGGACTCAAAGAATTTTAGCTCTGGACTAAGTGCTCAGTGAGTTAGTGATAGAGGCCAGATTCAATCCCAGGTCTGCTAACTCATAATCCAAGGCTGGCTCTTTTTAGCTGCACTTCAGTGTTTTCAAAGAAACAGACAATTGGCTTTCAGCATTCTCTCCACCCTGTCCCCTTCCACCTTCCCTCTGTGCATGGCCTCTCGTGGGCACATCCAGAGCTAGCATGCTGGGGTCTCTCATTCCGCTCCCACCTCCCTGTGCTTCCCTGTATATTTTCCTGGAAATGCCACGAGCCAGATCAACCACTCATTCAGGACCTAGTTCATCTTGTTCATCTTGCCGCTGTTGTTTACTCATTCGGGGGGGCGGGGGGGGGAAATGATAATATATATAAATATAAAATATGTCAGGAATAATATCTTCTTCTCTCCTTCATATCACAGTCTCAATATCTAAATACTGTCTTGTCCTGAGAGTTTCTGGGCTTTCTCATCTTGCCAGTTCCTCTGGAACATGTATGTTACCCCTTCCTCAAACTTTCCTGCCTTTCTCTGTCTCTATTTTTGTCTCTCTCTCCTTCCAGTCAGGCAGGAAAGTGACAATTCTGGAAAATGACTAAAGAAAGCCTGACTCATCACCTAAGTCCCAGGGCCTGCAGGGTGGAGACCTCCTTGCCCATTCTGTCCAGCTGAGGTCCAGCAAAGCCAGCCTGTGCCAAGACGCCAGGCACCTGCAGCAGCAGCAGTGACAGGTGCCGCCAATGCACCTGTTGTTTCGGTGGGAGGTGCCTCTTGTACGCCAGCTCCTTTTTCAAATAGAAAACTTGTTCTTGATATAATTACAGTGATAAGGCTGTGTAGCATGACAGATAACCCAAACCTGCTGCTGTTGCTGCTGCTGAATCCACTACCATTTGTTGCTTCAGTGATCACTCATGGCCAGAGAGCATGTATTGTAACTTTTCCCTTTCTTTCTTTCTTTTTTCTTTTATTTATTTATTTATTTATTTTTGAGATGGAGTCTCCATGTGTCGCCCAGGCTGGAGTGCAGTGGCATGATCTCGGTTCACTGCAACCTCCGCTTCCTGGGTTCAAGTGATTCTCCTGCCTCAGCCTCCCAAGTAGCTAAGACTACAAAGTGCCTACCACCACGCCCGGCTAATTTTTGTATCTTTAGTAGAGACAGAGTTTCACCATATTGGTCAGGCTGGTCTCAAACTCCTGACCTCAAGTGATCTGCATGCCTCGGCCTCCCAAAATGCTGGGATTACAAGCTACAATATGGCCACTGCGTCCAGCCATATTGTAGTTTTCTATCCCTTTGCAGGGTGAAGAAAAGCAGAGCAGATGGTTAGCTGGTCATCTGTATCTTCTTCTCTACCAGACCTCAAATTCTGCTGGGCTCCAGAAATTTTCCATTTACTTGAAACACTTTTCCCGAAGGTTCAGAATGGGACAACAGGTCAGAAAAGAAGGTCCACAGTCTCTCTGATCTGACTGTCTCAATGAGAGCATATCAGCCCCTTCTTCCAACTCCTTAATAACGAACTGGGAGATATCATGTGACACAGGACCAAAGAATGATTCAGCACTGACCCTGCCACCACTCATAATGTGAATTGAGGCAAATCGTTCTGTTTTCCTGGGTCTCAGTGTTCCCATCTATACAATGAGAGGTTTGTAATAACTGAGATCTTCAGATCCTAGCCAGCCCCACTCTGCAAGTTGTAGTAAGTGACCATTTTCTGACTCCTGATTATCCCACTTGCAAAATTGGAATCTATCATGGGACCTCTTCTTAGGCCCCATGTTCCAATGCTGTGGCATTGGGGATTAAGTTTCCAACACATAAACTTTGAGGGACACATTCAAACCATAGCACTAAGTGCTGAATCCTGTTCAAATTCCTGCATGCTTCCTCAGTACCCATGAGTATTCCTTTATTCTCCAGGATATTTGACAGGATGACCTGTGATAAAAGTCATCTGTTGCGGGGAAGTGTTGTCTCGCAGAGCTGGAGAAGCTACCAGCATTTCTCCCAGCAGCCAGGGATGCCGCCATCGTTAGCTTTGCCCCTTGTGAAAGCTCTTAGAGAGAGAATTGGTCCCTCTTTGGGATCCCTGTGCCTTCCTTGCCTGGATCATTTCTTACCATGAAGGTGTATCCTTACTGAGAAGTGAGTCACATTTGAGTAGAGCTAAAAAAATAAATTTGCAGTAAATTTGGCCTACGAGAGGTCTCCCAGACCATCTAGTACAACCCAGTAGTATAAAGTATCTCTTCCAAAATATTCAGCCTCAGTTTGAACACCTCTGATGGCAGAGAACTCACTATTTCACAAAGTAGCCCATCTAATGTTTGGCTAACTGAAATTATTAATAAGTCTTCCTTTCATGCTGAAACATGCCTGAAATATGCCTTTCTGAAATATCTAAACATTGATCCTAATTTTGCCCTGTGTAGCTTCACAGACGAATTAATCCCACCAATCTCTCCACCCTGACCTACATCTACCACACGAGGCCCTTCATGCCCGTGGTCCCTTTGCCCGCAGTTGCTGCTAGTCCTTATACTGCACCGGGGACCGCCCTCCACACATCCTCTCACTTGACCATATCTCTTGTGAAAGAGGTGAAAGCAACAGTTTCAAAGCTGTTGCTTCCGGGAATCAAAACACCATTCTTTATAGAATAGTGAGCTCTGCCTGACTTGGCCTTGCCTCTGTTTGAGAAAGAGCTTGAAAGTCAGAACTCCCTAAGTTCTATCCATTCTGACCAGCATGGGACAGTATGTCACCACCTCCCACACTGAATACCATTAAGAGAAGCAATTTTAGGGCATGGGGTAGACATACCAGAAATAATCTTTGCACGGTTTTTACCAATCAGTAAAGCACTATCATATCAGTTAGCTCACTTAAACTTCACCTCTGCCATATGCTATAAGAAAATATTATTAACATCTTTAATCAATTAAAACAAGAATCTGAGGCTCAGGAAGATGGGTCACCTGTTTATGGGGATCCTACTTGTCTTCATTCATTTTGTGTTGCTATATGAGAATACTACAGACAGAGTAATTTATACAGAAAATAAATTGGCTGGGTATGGTGGTTCATATTTGTAATCCCAGCACGTTGGGATGCCAAGGTAGGTGGATCACTTGAGCTCAGAAGTTCAAGACTAGCCTGGGCAACATTGCAAAACCTCATTTCTATTAAAAGAAATACAAAATAGCCAGATGTGGTGATGTTCACCTGCAATCCCAGTTACCTGGAATGCTGAGGCAGGAGGATGACAACAGCCTAGGAGGTCGAGGCTGCAGTGAGCTGTGATCATGCCGTTGTACTCCAGCCTGGGCAACAGAGTGAGACCCTGTCTTAAAAGATGAAGGAAGGGAGGGAGGAAGGAAGGAAGGAAGGAAGAAAGGAAGAAAGGAGGAAAGGAGGAAAGGAGGACAGGAGGGGAGAAGGAAAGGAGGGAAGGAGGGAAGGAGGGAGGGAGGGAGAGAAAGAGACAGACAGAAAGAAAGAAAGAAAGAGAAAGAAAGAAAGAAAGAAAGAAAGAAAGAAAGAAAGAAAGAAAGAAAGAAAGAGAAAGAGAGAGGAAGGAAGGAAGGAAGGAAGGAAGGAAGGAAGGAAGGAAGGAAGGAAGGAAAGAATTTCTTAGTTCTGGATGCTGGGGAAGTCCAATATCAAGATGTCCACATCTGGCAAGGGCCTTCATGCTGTGTCAACCCATGGTGGAGAATGGAAGGGCAAGAGATAGTGAGAGAGCAAGAGAGAGATGTGGCCAAACTCATTTTCATAACAAGCCCATTCTCCTGATGACTAACCCATTCCTGAGACAACAACATGAATCTGTACCTAAGGGCAGAGCTCTCATGAGCTAACCACCTCTTCTTAGGCCCCAAGTTCTAATGCTGTGGCATTGGGGATTAAGTTTCCAACACACAAACTTTGAGGGACACATTCAAACCATAGCACTAAGTGGTGAATCCTCTTCAAATTCCTGGTACCCATGAGTATTCCTGGATGCTTGTTCCATGTCCATGCTAGTATATAACCCCTAAGTCCTCGTCCCAACAATGTTCTCTTTTAGTGTGAAGGGTACATGGGCAATGTACCCTGGGTTGTCTGGATTCCAGACAGCTGCCCTCTTGCTCCTTGTATTTACTTCCCAGACGATCAGCTGCTTGTCTGCTTGTTTTGTATCAGTCAGCATTTTTCCATTCCCATCCTGTCCTTCCCTGCCTTCACCTTCTGCCGCTTGCGTTCCAGCTCTTCGCTGTCATTGTCACCAGCCTTCCTTCTCTTCAGAGGGGGAAAAACAATCCACTTATCTCCCCACCTTATTTTTACTCTTGGCTCTAATGGCCTTACTCAGAAATTTCTTCCAAATAGCATTTGTATTATCTTATTTTCCCCAAGCACATTTACCAGCCAAGTGTGATTCTGTAAATAAGGAAATCTGGTTATAGGGGCCAAGAAGTGCATGATCCCAACAAGCTGCCAGGAAGAATAAGAAGCCGGAAGCCCCCTGAATGGGAGGGGATGGCAGGGAGGGGTGCTGCTTTCTAGGCGGACGCTTCTCGGAAGGTTTGAGGCCCGGTGGTTACTCCCTCCCCTAGTGTTTGCTGTTGCTGCTGCTTCCTGGCATTTTGAAGTGGTTGCTTCCAGAAATCAAAATGCCATTCCTTATAGAATGCTGAGCTCTAACTGACTTAGCCTTGCTTCTATTTGAGAAAGAGCTTTAAAGTCAAAACTCCCTGAGTTGAGTTGTATCCACTCCCTACAAATCCAGCTGTGACCCTTGGGCACATAGCTCCATCTTACTTACCTTATTTTCTTCATCTTTAAAATACAGGTATTTGTATCTTCCAAGTAGGGTTGCCAAAAGATAGAAGGGGCTATTGCATATAAACTGCTTGGCATATAGCAGGTGCTCAGGAACTATAGTTATTAATTGGAAGTCTCACACATTTGTTACAACTGAGAACCTGGAAGCTGCTTACCACATTAATCCAAATGTTAGGTGATAGTGGGTGAAAAGGTCTAAGAAACATCTTTCCACATCTGAGTCCCCTTTTCAGGCAGCCAGGTCATTGGAAAGCCGTGCTAGGATGGGACTCATAAAGGCTAGAGAGAGTATTTCCCAGCCTGCATGCGCCAGCCAGCTGCTTGCTTGCCCTCAGATCCTTCCCTATCCCGTCCCTTGCCTGCTTCGTATTGCAGCGGGGTGACTGCTGCAAACAGTGGATCCCAGACTCGCTTGCCCTCTGGCTGCCTTTAGTTTCTGAGATCATTTGGAGAAAGAAGGGCAAAAACAAGGCAAGCTATTTCTGCCCTGTGCTCTCTCTCTTTCTGCTCCGAGTGACACTCCTGGAAGTAGCGATGGTCCTAGCTGTCACTAGTCTGTCCCTCCCTTCCTTGTCCGATCTCCCCCTAGGAGTCCTAGATTTGGGATTTTGTGCTTTGACAAAACTATCTCCTTCTTTATCTTTACAACCCAAGGATGATACTGACTATCCGCTACTGCTAATCTCTGAGTTTCTTGTCTGTCCCGTTTGGCTTCATTTTGCTTCCAACATTTTGTAATGGGTACCTTGTATTAAACTATCCCTGCCGAGCTACCCAGCATTGGTTTCCTAACTATACCTTGACTGAGATACAACCCAGACTCAGGAGTATTCTGTTCTTCTGCATGCCATTGTAATTTTATAAAAAGATTCTTTAAGACCAGATTTTGAGTAAAAGCTATCATTAAATAATGACAGTCAAATATCAAAAACTTCTGTATCCTAGGAGTTGGCCTACCCTCAGAGATCACCTGGTCTAAATCCTTTTTTTCTGTTGATAAAATGAGGCTCTGAGAGTTTGAGGGACTCACCCTAGGTCATTTAGTAAGAGTCTCATTTTCCTAGTGGGTATTATTCCGCCATGATTTGAATATGAGCATCTCCTTAGCACAAAGACAAACACCATATATTTTTATTTCCCTTTAAGGGATTGGCCTATATTTACATATATATTTCTTGACAGGCATGATGCAACTTGGCATCTTTGCATTGCAAATAAGTGTCAAAATCTACTAGGTCAAACATACATAATGGACAATGGCATGGCAAAGCTCTACTGGACTACTAAATTCACATGATTGTATCTCTATATATTCAAATATAGATGTAGATATACAGATTTAGATAGAGAAAGGGACACAGGTACAGAGAAAGGAAAAGATACAGATATAGATGTACTGTTCTCCCCCAAGTCATTACTAAGTTTTAAAAGGAATAAAACAGCATGCTTTTCTACTCACCATGCATAAATCATCACTGAAAAGGAGCCCAGAAGCATCTCTGCAAACTCGTCTTAGAGATTTGAAATACACAGAAGGTCCATTTCTTGATGACCCAAGCAAAAAAGTTCAAGAGTGAACTTGGCTTTGGGCAGGGCTAGCAGGCAGTACGGCCTAGCTCACAAAGGTATGTGGGCACCCAGGAGGGGTTAATTAGAAAAAAGCTCTAAGTAAAAGGGTTATAGCTGGACTAGGATAGGACAACTAGCTTTGGTCAAGAACACTCCTTCCCAAAATACAAATTCTGAGGCTGAGGCCATTGTCTGGGGTCAGGAGCTGATGTCCAACAAGAAAATAGGGCCAGAGGATCACAGAAGGCCTCTTGTAATCAGGAGACCAAGTCAACTGTAGGGTAAAGAGAGATTGGTTTGAGAAATCAAACAGAAATCCAAGCAACTGAGGTGAAAATTAAAGCAAAAGTGAAAATGAACTGAGTAGACATCGAGAAGAACTGGCCAGCCATGCTGGAGGCCCCTGAGTCTGAGTGAGGACAGGATTAGCAAATGTGATTTCCACTCAAATCAGAATTATTGGGTCACCTTTTCTTGTCCTTGAAGGAGCCAAGGTCACATTCTGCAGTTAGAGCTGCATTATCTGAGCACAGCCCCAAGGGGGCCAAGACTTGGCATTTTAACTCCACTGGTGCCAGGTGATGCCATCTAACCTGTGATCACAGACAGGCCACCTCTCAAACGTGGAGAGCCTGTACATAATTACACATCTTGGGTATGAGGAAGGCCAGGTAGACTGGGTATGGGAATCACAGCAAACCCATATCAGTTTTCCCACAGACAGTTCCCAGGCAGGATGGCCTGGAGCCCAGGGAACATAGGTCCCGGTACTGAATTGGCCTAGAAAAGCCTTCTGATCTAGCCTTATTTCTGAGTCATGATTGTCAAACTCCCATGCTCCAGGAAGTAACAGTACTTTTTTTCATTTTCCTTGTCCCCTCCCTCTCTTTTAATCTTTGAGGACTACATCTCTGCTTATGGTGTTTACTAAATATTTTTGGGTTTGAATTTTGAATTCTAAGATGCTTATAACACTGGGCTCACCGTATCAGCCTTAAGCACTAAATGGAGTATGGTTCATCATATACAGGCCTCAATTTCGAGTCCTGGCTGTCCCCTATTCAACTGGCTTCCCAGCTGAGACCAGGGAGTTTGGCAAAAAGGGGAAGTAACTGTGGGCCTCATTTGAATTATAGAACAGGAAGGACATTAGGTCAGGGCTAAGGCACAGGAAGTGGAAATATGGTTGTCTCTGTTTATCAAAGACAAGCTAGAGTATCTTGTGCAATATAGTGAACATAGAACAAGACATGCTATGCCCATCACCCTCCTCAAGGGTAAAATCTTCAAGTGATATAAGATGTGAATCAACCAAGTGCATTGCAGGGGAAGGATCTGGGATGGGAGGAAAGAAGAGAGGAGAAAAGAAAACAGCATGACTTGGTGAAGATGAAAGGAGATGGAGCCCAACAGGCCTGAGTATCATTCTGGACCACCTCATGGCAGCTCTGGCTCTTTGGTAAGTTCCTCAACCTTCCTGTGCCTGTATCCACTGCTGTAAAAAAGAGATAATGATAGTACTTCTATCCTGGGATTATATCCAAAATTAAATATTTTTCAAAAAAAAAGTCTGGCTCATTTCTTCCTACTAGCCTCCAGTGAAATATATGATGTCTTATAAATGCCTTATTACTAATTAAAATAAAATGTTATTGCAACCTAAGGAGTGGGAGATCTCTTTTGGCTTCAAGATCAAGGGAGATAACTTAGAGAAAAAGCTAAAGGAGCTTTAAAGTACCAGATGGCTTTGGTAGGCAGAGAAAAGCAGGGACGAAGACAAGACACCAGACCTAGGGACAGATGTGCTCTTGGCATATGCTCTTTCTCTGCATGCTCCGTGATCCCAAACCTTCTCTTTTTCCTGAACACCATTTGTCCTCATTATTTTCCACATTCAGCCATTCAAATAACACCTTTTTTTTTAAACATCCTGCATTAATCAAGCCACTGGACATATAAACCACAAACAAGATAGGCATGATCCCTGCCCTCTGAGGTTGTCCTTCTACTCCCTAACATTATCTTTCTTAAAAGCTACTTGGGAGGCTGAGTCAGGGAGAGTTGCTTGAACCTGGGAGGCAGAGTTTGAAGTGAGCCAAGATCGCGCCACTGCACTCCAGCCTGGACAACAGAGCGAGACTTCGTCTCAGGGAAAAAAATAAATAAAAGCCAATTGGAGGCAGGCACTCTGGTTCATGCACCTTCTATATCCTATATCCCCATGGTGCTGTGCACAAAACAAGTGCTTAATAAAGAGAGTTGATGAATTGACTGACTTTGCTCCTCCTACTCTGCTATTCTCTGGCTTCAGATTCCATTTATAACCTCACTCATTTATCTTAAGAAATATCCACCTTTGATCTTGGGCCATGGTGGGCAAAGCAGAGTGTGGTCCACTCTCAAGACAAGGCAAGAGAAATCCAAAGTGTGGACCAGGTAATAATGAATAAGAAGTATATATATATATGGTCCATACGCAGAAAAAAAAATCATATCTTCAAATAAGCAGATTGGCTTCTGCTAGACATGCAAGGAGCTTGATTGAGGCTAAAAAAATAATTTTTTTTTAAACCAAGCTGATATTCAGAACATTCAAACTGGTGATTAATAAGATAGCCTCTTTGTGCTTCTTTAATTGATGAAACTTTGACAAAATATTGTTTTCATTCACTCATTATGACTCAATGAATACATTTTTGAATTAGCTTTATTGCCTTTAAAGCGCTGACTTCAGGCATTCTGGTGCACTGAGCATGGGTCCTTTTGCAGAATATATTCTTAATTAACAGTTTGCTACTGATCTGACACGGGTCTCACCTGCCTTTGTGAGGATGGAATTTAATTTTTTTCTTCTTGATTGGCCTTGCCATTCACAGAACGTGTCGTCGTTAGAGAAGGAATTCCATTTAAAATTCAGATCAGGTCCTCCTGCGTGTCAGCCAGCATTCCCTCTCCAAACATAAGTAAAGGAGGGAAGGCCTGCTACTCACAGGGCTGCTTTGCACTAGGAAAATACTTTATACAACCCCTTTCCCACATGGCAGCACTTTCCACAGTGAGTACTACAGAGACTCTGTATCGTGAACATCATGACCGGTGTCACGAGACCCAGGAACAGCCCGGGCTCCAGCACGCAGAATCTCTCTTGGAGACTCCCTGGGTCAAGTCTGTAGTCTATTCCCCACTGACTCATGCAATCAAGAACCTGAAATAATGGAGATAGGAGGAGACCTTGGGGGAAGGATGACCTGAAGAAACCAGGCCTTTACTCTACTATCCTTGAGGGATTGTTCAGTTCACTGTATCCTTTCACGAAAGTCTGGAGAGGCGGAAAGACTCAGAACTAGCTGGAGACAATGCTGGAAGAGGATCCCAGATGTCCTCAGTTTGAGCAGCCAAAGATACTGTGAGCTAGAGATATCAGCAGTTAAGGGAGTGCAAAACAACACAGGAAACCTGTCTTCTGTCTCCTCTCTCCCGTGCTTTCTTTAAGCACATATTACAAGGCAGAGGCTAAAAGCTGCCAGTCTCCCTTAGCGCAGCCTGTAATCCTATTAAAACGGATTATTTCATTGTCCTGGGCTATCAGATCTTGCTAAGAACTCATTTAGGTCAACCTTTTAGGATGTTTACACACATGGAAAAAAATAATGTTAAATAAGTCACTTGCCATGTTTCTCAAAAAGAGCTGAGCTGGGCAGGCTTGACTGTGTACAGCCCTGTGTCTTTTTCATGGTCTCCTTAAAGCCTCATGAAAGTTTGGGCTTTGACTCCTCAGCTCTAGCAGCAGACGCAGGGACCTGGCACAAGAGTCAGAGCCTAGTAATTTCCATGGAAATGACTGGAATGTTAAACCCACTTTAATCACCTCTGCTTGCTGGCAACCTCACTCTGAATTCCTTTAGTCAGTGCAAACTCTAAGGCACAGAGAGGAGTAAGAGAGAATAGAGCAGTATGACTGTGGGTGCCCAGTTGGAAGTCAAGAGTTCCTTTCTACTGGGCTTCTGAGTAGCCAGGGGCCCAGAATGATTCATGCTCAGTTTGACATTTAATGTCTCAAGGCTTAACTCACTTCCCCTGTCTCCTCACTTTGCCATGCTCATTTCAAATAATGGCATCAGCAATCATCCTTGCCCAAACTAAAGCTCTGGAAGCACTGTCTACTCCTTCTTTATCCCCATAATCCTCAGTCTTGTTCATGTCAGCTCAGGTTTCTCCACTTCTTCCAGATGCTCCTGTAGTAGGTGACTTCTGATATAGCTCCCAGTGGTCTCCCCTCTGGTGTCTGCACCCTAGTGCAGTCCCCTTGTGTAAGGTCCTGAGCATGGGCTGGACCTCGAGATTTCCAAGCAATAGACCACGGCAAACACAATGGGATGCCACTTCTGTTATCAGGTTACAAAATTCTGAGACTTCCATCTTGCTCCGATTCTCTTTCTGGCTCTGTTTGTTCTGATGGAGAGAGCTACCTGGTAAAGGACAGAGTGACTTCCAGCTAACAGCCAGTAAGAAACTGAGTCCTGCCAACAACCCCTGAGAGTCTTTGCAAAAGGATCCTGACCCAGTTGAACTTCCAGATAACAGGAGCCCTGGTCATCACCTTAACTACAGCTGGGGAGAAACCTCAAATCAGAGGACCCAGCTAAGCCATGCCCAGATTCCTGACCCACAGAAACTGAGATACTAAACATGTTGCTTAAAGCAACTAATTCTGGGGTAACTGTTATGCAGCTACAGAAAACTGATATACCTTCCTATCCCATCTTCTACTCCAGCCCTCATTTTTATTCTTCTTGGTCTAACGAACTCTAAAAAGTCACTCAGCTGGTCTCCTTTCTCCCTTGTACTTCCCTCCCCAAACTATCATCTCCAATGTTATCGTATTATCTTCCTAAAAAAGACAAAATCAAGCTGTCACTAAAGGGTGAAGCTCTAGGTTATCAACTCTCATTGCAACCAAATTAACTTCACTTCTACCTATTTAATATTGTATGCATCTCAATTAGATTTTATTTAGGGAGTAAAAAGAAAATGATCTTTCCACTGTAACACTAAAAATTAAGACAATTTAAGGGTGGGTTAATCATGGGAGCATTTATAAATATTTATTCTGATTGTCCAACTTTTGGACACACAGTAAGGCTGCTCTTTTTTACCTTCTTGAGGTTTAGGTGTGACCATGTGGCTGCTTTTGACCAATAAAATGTGAATGGTACATGTTACTTTAGGTGCAAGTATTTAGTTGCCAGCACTCAATTCCCACTTTCCTATTCCCTGCTATAGCTTCGTGAATCATGCATCATCAAATGGAGCCTGGGACCCTGAGTAGCTATAAGAGCAGTGCCCACCCTGCCCATCTATGTTAAATGTGTAGCATGAGTGAGAAATAAATCCTTGTTACGTGAAATCACTCAGATGTGGAGGGTATTCGTTACTGCAGCACAGACTATCACACTCTGACTAACCCACAGCAGCAGTAAATTAGACCAACCTCCAATTTCATACATTAGAAAACTAAGGAGAAAAGAAGTGCTTACTTAAGGTTACCTAGAAGGGCACCCAGTCCCAAGAACTCTGCAGGACACTAGGCTCACAACCCTGTGATGTCTATAAAAACTGATGATCCTTCTGAGCTTAGGACCAGAAAAGGGCACTCTCTTCCCACTGGGAAAGACCCCTCTCCAGGCCTACAGGCATTCCCCTGCGTGGGGTCACCTGCTAAGATCTAATAAGCAGCACAGGCCACCCTCTTCCTTAGTTCCTTCTCATCATGAGTATCAGCTCTTTCTGAGCCTTTCTGCACCTTCAAGGTAGATTAGGGGTGAGAAACTGGAGGCTAAAAACCTCTTGGCAGTTTACAGTAAGAGACATGTCATTCCCAATGAGTTTGCACAATTTGAGGCTTTTTGCTGTGCTCTCAAGGCATGAAACTGGCAAGAAGCAAGGGTAGACACTTCGCCTGACTTCCTCCAAGTAAGATATCCCTATAGAGAGATGGCTTTTAAAGAGCTCTGAAATAGGCCCTTTGTAGGCCTACATAGGCTTCTAGCAGAGTGGCCATATGCCCCAGCTTGCCCAGAAGAGTCCTAGTTTCACCTACTGCCCTGGAATCATTATTAATAGTGCTCCCTTTCACTCTCAAATGTGTCCCACTTTGGATGATAAATTATACAGTCACTGTAGCTCCAAGACTGGAGTCACCTGCCAAGCTTCATTTCTTAATTCACTCCCCACAGGCCACTGCCACTGGCTGACAGGAAAGAATTTCCACTAACCCAGAGCTACCAGAGAGAGTTAGCTTCAGGCAGCAGCAAGACCATGGGGATCATGGGTTCTGGTCTTCCCTCTAATTCTGTCTGGCTGTGTGATTTTGGAAAAGTTGCTTTCCCTCCTTTGACCTCTGTGCTATATAAAATAATGGAGCTGGATGGAAGGGTGCTTTGATTTCCTTCCAGTCTTTGATTCCATAAAGCTGTCTATAGGAAAGATTTCCCACAATGGAGGAATCCACATGGACACCAAGCTCTGAATGCAGATGGAATCCATCATGCAGCCCACAGATACATTTTTTAAACTTTTCCTTTCAATCTCTGTAGATGCTGTGATTAATAAAATGCCAAATATTTCAGAAGCATTACAAATTTCAGAATAGCTGCGTGTCATTAGGTATTTTCTTAGTCAATAGGATGAGAAGCGCCACTTCTGTAAGGTAGGGGGAGTGGAGTGGAAGGCAAAATATATTGTCTTTAAAAAAGGATATTCGATTGTGCAGGGCCAGGATGGCTGACTAGAAGCAGTGGTGATGGGAGGCTGCCATTGAAGAGAACCATAACAGCATGCCAATCCTGCACTGGCAAATGAGGTATCCAGGTTCTGTCATCAGAACTGACTAGGTGGCTATCGTGACTCACGGAGGGAAAGGAAGAGCAGTGTGGTGCGGCAACCCACCTGAGAGACACACGGGGCAGGGGAGCCCCACACACACACACAGCCAAGGGAGGCGTTCTGGGGAATCCAGGCAGCTCAGATGAGTGGGTTTCCCCCCAGCAAAGCACACCCCCTCCACCAAGGACAGTCAAAGTGCTTCGTTAAAACGGGTCCTGCTCCTTGTGCCACCCAACTGGGTGAGACCCTCCAACAGGGTTTGTCAGACACCCTATACAGGAGCATTCCTACAGGCATCAGGTCAGTGCCCCTCAAGGTCAGAGATCCCAGAGGAAGAAGCAGGCACCCATCTGTGCTGTTCTCCAGCCTCCTTAACTGACATCTCCAGGCGTGGGAGCAAACCAGATGAATAGGGCCTGAAGTGAACCACCAGCAAATCACAGCATCCCTACAGAAGAGAGGCTTGACCCTTGCAAGAAAAATAAACAAACAGAAAGCAATAATAGCATCAACAACAACAAAAAAAAACCCCACAAAAACCCTATCCAAGTGTCAGCAGCCTCAAAGATCACTACTAGACAAACTCAGGAAGATGAGAAAGAATCAACAAAAAAAGTGCTGAAAACCCGAAAGGCCAGAATATCTCTTCTCCTCCAAATGATTGCAACACCTCTCCAGCATGGGCACAGAACTGGATGGAGGATGAAATTAACAAATTGACAGAAGTAGGTTTCAGAAGATGGGTAATAACAAACTCCAGTGAGCTAAAGGAGCTTGTTTTAACCCAATGCAAAGAAGCTAAGAACCTTGATAAAAGGTCATAGGAGCTGCTAACTAGAATAACCAGTTTAGAGAGGAACATAAATGACCTGATGGAGCTGAAAAACACAACACAAGAACTTTGCGAAGCATACACAAGTATCAGTAGCCGAACTGACCAAGCAAAAGAAAGGATATCAGAGTTTGAAGACCATTTTGCTGAAATAAAGTATGCAGGCAAGATTAGAGAAAAAAGAATGAAAAGAAATTAATAAAACCTCCGAGAAATATGGGACTCTGTAAAAAGACTGAACCTACGATTGACTAGAGTACATGAAAGAGATAGAGAGAATGGAACCTAGTTGGAACACACTCTTCAGGATATTATCCAGGAGAACTTCCCCAACCTAGCAAGACAGGCCGACATTCAAATTCAGGAAATACAGAGAACACCACTAAGATACTCCACAAGAAGATCAACCCCAAGACATATAATCTTCAGATTCTTGAAGGTCAAAATGAAGGAAAAAATGTTAATGGCAGCCAGAGAGAAAGGCCAGGTCACCTACAAAGGGAAGCCCATCAGACTAACAGCAGACCTCTCAGCAGAAACCCTACAAGCCAGAAGAGAGTGGGGGCCAGTATTCAACATTTCTAAAGAAAATAATTTTCAACCCAGAATTTCATATCCAGCCAAAGTAAGCCTCATAAGCAAAGGAGGAATAAGATCCTTTCCAGAAAAGCAAATGCTGAGGGATTTCACCTCACCAGGCCTGCCTTACAAGAGCTCCTGAAGGAAGCACTAAATATAGAAAAGAAAAACTGGTACCAGCCACTGCAAAAACACACCAAAATATAAAGACCAATGACACTATGAAGAAACTGCATCAACTAGTGTGCAAAATAACCAGCTAGCATCATGATGACAGGATCAAATTTATACATAACAATATTAACCTTAAATGTAAATGGGCTAAATGCTCCAATTAAAGGTCACGGAACGGCAAATTGGATAAAGAGTCAAGACCCATTGGTGTGCTGTGTTCAGAAGACCCATCTCATGTGCAAAGACACACATAGGCTCAAAATAAAGGGATGGAGGAGTATTCACCAAGCAAATGGAAAGCAAAAAAAAAGTAGGGGTTGCAATCCTACTCTTTGACAAAGCAGACTTTAAACCCACAAAGATCAGAAAAGACAAAGAAGGGCATTACATAATGGTAAAGGGATCAATTCAACAAGAAGAGCTAATTATCTTAAATATATACGCACCCAGTACAAGAGCACCTAGATTCATAAAACAAGTTCTTAGAGACCTACAAAGAGACTTAGGCTCCCACATGATAATAGTCAGAGACTTTAACACCCCACTGTCAATATTAGACAGATCGACAAGACAGAAAATTAACAAGGATATTAAAGACTTGAACTCAGCTCTGGATCAAGTGGACTTAAGAGACATCTACAGAACTCTCCACCACAAATCAACTGAATATATATTCTTCTGAGTGCCACATGGCACGTATTCTAAAATCGACCACATTATTGGAAGTAAAATACTCCAGAGCAAATGCGAAAGAATGAAATCACAACAAACAGTGTCTCAGACCATGGTACAATCAAATTAGAACTCAGGATAAAGAAACTCACTCAAGGGCCGGGCACGGTGGCTCACATCTGTAATCCCAGCACTTTGGGATGCCAAGGCGGGTGGATCATGAGGTCAGGAGATCGAGACCATCTTGGCTAACACGGTGAAACCCTGTCTCAACTAAAAGTACAAAAAATTAGCCAGGCATGGTGGCAGGAGAATGACATGAACCCAGGAGGCGGAGCTTGCAGTGAGCCGAAATAGCGCCACTGCACTCCATCCAGCCTGGATGATAGAGCGAGACTCCTTCTCAACAAAAAAAAAAAAAAAGAAAAAAAAAAAAAAAGAAACTCACTCAAAACCACACAACCACATGGACATTGAAAAACCTGCTCATGCATGACTCCTGGGTAAATAATGAAATTAAGGCAGACATCAAGAAGTTCTTCGAAAAAATAAGAAGAGACAATGAGTCGCTGGGACACAGCTAAAGCAGTGTTAAGAGGGAAATGTATAGTACTAAATGCCCACATCAGAAAGCTAGAAAGATCTCAAATCTACACTGTAACATCACAATTAAAAGAGCTAGAGAAGCAAGAGCAAACAAATCCAAAAGCTAGCAGAAGACAAGAAATAACTAAGATCAGAGCAGAACTAAAGGAGATAGAGACATGAAAAACCCTTCAAAAAAATCAATGAATCCAAGAACTCGTTTTTTGAAAAAATTAACCAAATTTTTTGTTAATTTTTTGTTTATTAGCTAGACTAATAAACAAGAAAAGAGAGAAGAATCAAATAGATTCAATAAAAAATTATAAAGGGGGTATCACCACTGACCCCACAGAAATACAAGCTACCATCAGAGAAGGTGCAAATAAACTAGGAAAAACTAGAAGAGATAGATAAATTCCTGGACACATACACACTCCTGAGACTAAATTAGGTAGAAGCCGAATCCCTGAATAGACCAATAACAAGTTCTGAAATTGAGGCAGTAATTAACAGCCTACCAACTAAAAAAATCCCAGGACCAGACAGATTCCTAGCCAAATTCTACCAGAGACACAAAAAGGAGTTGGTACCCTTCCTTTTGAAACTATTCCAAACAACTAAAAAGGAGGGATTCCTCCCTAACCCATTTTATGAGGCCAGCATTATCGTGACACCAAAACCTGGCAGAGACACAACAAAAACAGAAAACTTCAGGGCAATATCCCTGATGAACATTGATGCAAAAATCCTCAATAAAATACTGCAAACTGGATCCAGCAGAATATCAAAAAGCTTATCCACCATGATCAAGTCAGCTTCATCCCTGGGATGCAAGGCTGATTCAACATACACAAATCAATAAATGTAATTCATCACATAAACAGAGCCAATGACAAAAACCACATGATCATCTCAATAGATTCAGAAAATGCCTTCGATAAAACTCAACATCCTTTCATGTTAAAAACTCTCAATAAACTAGGTACTGATACAACATATCTCAAAATAATAAGAGCTATTTATGGCAAACCCACAGCCAATGTCATACTGAATGCATAAAATCTAGAAGCATTCCCTTTGAAAACTGGCACAAGACAAAGATGCCCTCTCTCATCACTCCTGTTCAACATAGTATTGGAAGTTCTGACCAGGGCAACCAGGCAAGAGAAAGAAATAAAGAGTATTCAAAGAGAAAGAGAGGAATTCCAATTGTCTCAGTTTGCAGACAACATGATTTTATATTTAGAATACCCCATCGTCTCAGCCCAAAACCTCCTTAAGCTGATAAGCAACTTCAGCAAAGTCTCAGGATGCAAAACCAATGTGCAAGAATCATAGGCATTCCTATATACGAACAATAGACAAGCAGAGAGCCAAATCATGAATAAACTCCCACTCACAATCACTAGAAAGAGAACAAAATACCTAGGAATACAGCTAACAAGGCTTGTGAAGGACCTCTTCAAGGAGAACTACAAACCACTGCTCAAGGAAATAAGAGAAGACACAAACAAATAGAAAAACATTCCATTCTCATGATGGGAAGAATCAATATCATGAAAACTGCCAAACTGCCCAAAGAAATTTATAGATTCAATGCTGTTCCCATCAAAATACCATTGACATTCTTCACAGAATTAGAAAAAAAACACTTTAATTTTATGTGGAACCAAAAAGGAGAACACATAGCCAAGACAATCCTAAGCAAAAAAAAAAAAAAAAAAAAATACAAAGCTGTAGGCATCACGCTACCTGACTTCAAACTATACTACAAGAGCACACTAACCGAAACAGCATGGTACTTGTACCAAAACAGACACATAGACCAATGGAACACAACAGAAACCTCAGAAATAACACCACACATCTACAACCATCTGATCTTCAACAAACCTGACAAAAACAATAAATGGGGAAAGGATTCCCTATTTAATTGATGGTGCTGGGAAAACTGGCTAGCCATATGCAGAAAACGGAAACTGGACCCCTTCCTTACACTTTATACAAAAATTAACTCAAGATGGATTAAAGACTTAAATGTAAAACCCAAAACCACAAAAACCCTAGAAGAAAACCTAGGCAATACCATTCAGGACATGGGCACGGGCAAAGACTTCATGACAAAAACACCAAAAGCAATGGCAACAAAAGCCAGAACTAACAAATGGCATCTAATTAAACTAAAGAGCTTGCACACAGCAAAACAAACTATCATCAGAGTGAACAGGCAACCTACAGAATGGGAGAAAATTTTTGCAATCTACCCATCTGACAAAGGCCTAGTATCCAGAATCTACAAGGCACTTAAACAAATTTACAAGAGAAAAAACAAACAACCTCATCAAAAAGTGGGCAAAGGATGTGGACAGACACTTCTCAAAAGAAGATATTTATGCAGCCAATAAACATATGAAAAAAAAGCTCAACATCATTGATCATTAGAGAAATGCAAATCAAAACCACAATGAGATACCATATCATGCCAGTCAGAATGGCGATTATTAAAAAGTCAAAAAACAATAGATGTTAGTGAGGCTGTGGAGAAATAGGAAGGCCTTTACATTGTTGGTGGGAATGTAAATTAGTTCAAAGACTGTGGAAGACAGTGTGGAGATTCCTCAAGGATCTAGAACCAGAAATACCATTTGACCCAGCAATCCCATTACTGGGTATACACCCAAAGGAATATAAATCATTCTACTATAAAGACACATGCACACATTTGTTTATTGCAGCAGTATTTACAATAGCAAAGACATGGAACCAACCCAAATGCCCATCAATGATAGACTGGATAAAGAAAATATGGTACATATACACCATGGAATTCTATGCAGCCATAAAGTGGGATTAGATCATGTCCTTTGCTGGGACTTGGATGAATCTGGAAGCCATCATTCTCAGCAAACTAACACAGGAACAGAAAACCAAACACCGTGTGTTTTCAATCATAAGTGGGAGTTGAACAATGAGAACACATGGACACAGGGAGGGGAACAACATACACCAGGGCCAGTCAAGGGCTAGGGGGCAAGGGGAGGGAGAGTATTAGGACAAATAGCTAATGCATGCGGGGTCCAAAACTTAGATGATGAGTTGATAGGTGCAGCAAATCACCATGACACATGTATACTTATGTAACAAACCTACACGTTCTGCACTTGTATCCCAGAACTTAAAGTAAAATTTTTTAAAAAAAGGATATTCATAGTCCAACCAGTTGAGAAGTACTGAAGTAGAGTAGGCAACATGATAAAAGTATATACAAAATGTTGTGTCACCTGCATAGTTCCTTTTTCTCTGGAAGGGTACCAGGGCATTCCTCAGACTCTTGAATGAGTCTGTGACCCAGATGAGATCCAAAACCATTCTTCTGGAAATATGAGAAAGTCAACAATTTCCAGAGGCTCTGTTAAGCCCATCTCCACCTCTAAACAAAGGTAGAATTATCTTCTATTTTTTGCATTCCTACTATGCAACCCAGATAATGCTAAATGCTTTGCATAGGCATCATAGTCCCTGAAGGAGATGAGAGGAGAAAATGAAGGCATAAAGGAATGAAGTTACTTACCTTAGGCCTATAGTGGACAGAGTCAGGGCTCAAACTTAGGTCCATGTGACTGATGCCTACATTCTTTCCACTATGCCCTGTTGCCCACTAAACTCACCACCAGTGGAAGGCCAAAAGCAAGAGTCTGCTTCAAACTGTGATTTTTTTTTTTTTCAAGAAAAAAAAAAAAAGCAGGCATGAGGAGGCAGCATGGAGTGGAGGGAGACAGGAATGAGGACAATGCCTTTAAAATACCATGTCAAATCCAAGTGCAAGAGGAAGAACACAGTCCTCCTCCTCAGCCAGAGACATGAGTAGCCACGGTGAGACAGAATTCAACTTCTCTCTAAGAGAGAGAGAGAGAGAGAAACCTAGATAAATGGGAGAGATTCTTCATGTGAATTTTTAAAAGCACCCTTAAAAATTTTCAGAAATAAAATCAGCTGCTGAGCTAAATCTTTCTCTCATTTTTCACTTAAACTGGAATTAAAGAGAAATGTTCTTTAGTATTAGGTGAGTGCAAATGTAGTTGCAGTTTGTGCATTGTTGGAATTTGCCGTTTGATGTTGGAATACATTCTTAAATAAATACGGTTATGTTATACATCATTTTAATGGGCATTTCTTGCTTTATGTTTTTTTGCTAATGATATTACTTGCTGTTTATTTTATGTTTGTTTTTAGACTATGGAAATTACGTTAGACCAAAAGCAAATTTGAGTGATTTTCTTATTCGATTTCAAAATGGGTCATAAAACAGCAGAGACAACTCACAACATCAACAACGCATTTGGCCCAGGAACTGCTAAGGAACATACTGTGCAGTGGTGGTTCAAGAAGTTTGGCAAAGGAGACGAGAGCCTTGACGATGAGCTAGTGGCTGGCCATCAGAAATTGACAATGGCCAATTGAGAGCCATCATCAAAGCTGATCCTCTTACAACTGTACCAGAATTTGAAGAACTCATCATCAGCCATCATAGGGTCGTTCAGCATTTGAGGTAAATTGGAGAGGTGAAAAAGCTCAATAAGTGGTTGCCTCATGAGCTGAGAGAAAATTTTTTAAAAATTGTCATTTTGAAGTGTCTTCTCTTATTCTGCACAATTAAGATGAACTATTTCTCCATCGGATTGTGGTGTGCCATGAAAAGTGGATTTTATATGACAATCAGTGATGTCCAGCTCAGTGGTTCAACTGAGAAGAAGCTCCAAAGCACTTCCCAAAGCCAAACTTGCACCAAAAATGGTCATGTTCACTGTCCAGCAGTCTGCTGCTGGTCTCATCCACTATAGCTTTCTGAATCCCAGCGGAAGCATTACATCTGAGAAGTATGCTCAGCAAATAGATGACATGCACTGAAAACTGCAATGCCTGCAGCTGGCATTGGTCAACAGAAGGGGCCCAATTCTTCTCCATGACAACATCTGACCATGCATCTCACAACCAACTCTTCAAAAGTTGAATGATTTGGGCTACAAAGTTTTGCCACATCCGCCATATCACCTGATGTCTTGCCAACCGACTAACACTTCTTCAAGCATCTCAACAACTTTTTTCAGGGAAAACTCTAACACAACCAGCAGGATGAAAAAAAAATAAAAGCTTTCCAAGACTTCATTAAATCCCAAAGCATGGGTTTTACACTACAGGAATAAACTTATTTCTCACTGGCAAAAATGTGGTGTTGATTGTAATAGTTTCTATTTTGATTAATAAAGATGTGCTTGAGCCTAGTTATAATGATTTAAAATTCATGGTCCAAAACCACAATTACTTTTGCCCAAACTTAATAGTTTTCTGCCTTCACATCTTCTGCAGCAAGAACCACAATACTTTAAGGCCCTGTGTAAAGGAAATCTTCAAGAAAGGAAACACAGCGCTTGCCTCTGAATTCCTAAGGCACTGTGCCATGGGCTTTAGAGAGATGACACTGGTTTCATAATGGATGTCTTGCAATTCTAAGGATACTCAGGGGGCTTGCTGGAAAGGGGTTAGGCCGCAGGGGCTGAAGAATCTGATTCTCTAAACCTCCTCCACAATTTCTTTCCTTTCTTAGTCACCAGCTAGGAAATCTTCTCCTAGTGTTTCCATGTATTTCCTGGCCACAGCAGGGTCACAGCAGGTTCCCCCATCCATCCATCCCCAGTCTTTCCAAACTACTCCTCGCCCCAATACTCTCCCTGCATACCTCACCCTCCTGTCCTACAGTTCCTGCCTCCTCTCCCACTTGAAGTTCTGACAGCTACCTGGTGATTCAAGACACTCCCTCCTGGGTCTACAGAAGCAGATAGGCAATTTTTCTTAAAAAACAGCCTGCAACCCGTTTTCACACAGTGCCCCAATCTCAGCTCTATGGATTGGGAAACTGCAGGGGTTCAGTCGACCCATCTTTTGAGTGACCAGAAGGATAAGGAAGGGATACTAGTGGTCACCTTTGCTAAAGCATATTTGAATTCATTCAATATAATATCTTTAACCTTGTCTCTAGCCTCACTCTAAAGATTCTGTTGGCCTTAAAATATTTATGTCAAGAAGCACTCTCATCACATGAAAATTTTGGCATTTTAGAGAACAGCTTCTTTTTCCTTTTTCCTCATCTTCCAAAATATTATATGAGGCGGACAGAAGTCATGCTCACTGAATAGTCATGTATTCCTCTGTGGTTCCCCAGGGGAGGGCGGTTCATGACCTGTCTGGTAAATGAAATGGGAGCTCTAGTGACATGTGACACTTTACTGTGACCTTTCTGAGCCACTGCGGTGAACAGCTGATGCATTTCCTCCCCCATCTTGCCCTGCTGAAGCAATTTTGAACACTCCTTCCAGCTGGCATGTCCACCAATGGAAACCACCAAAATCTGAGTCACTGCCTAGAGGAGATCAGCTCTACAGAGCCACCCAACCATCATGCAATGGATAAGCAACAAATAAACTTCTTGTCTTGTCTGTTTGTTAGTGAAGCATGGTTCACTGTAGTACAGCATCTCCACTGTTTAGTAGAGCTTAGTGAGAGTGCTTTCCCCTCTGCCAGCCCAGCACATGAGCCCACAGCTGCAGCAGCTGCTATGATAGTAGGAATTTACAATGAAACTTCCTTCTCCAGTGCTGTCATTCGGATGCCTCAGCTCCACTCTCAGATTCTCTGTTCCAAGTTTCATGGTCCCAAGGCAGGGATAATCTGATTGGCCCCATCAGAGAAATCAGCTGTGGTATGGAACAGGGTCATGGAATATGGCCATGGCCATGAGGGGCCAGTCCCTAAGTACCAGGGCTTTCCAAGAGAAGAGCAAAAGACTGTGAGATGGACAGCTGCCCCATCCTTGTTAACAGCGGCCCTACATAACCATAACCCACTCTCCTAATGTGCCCTGAAAACCAACTGTGACAACAAACCAAACCCAAACAAAACAGTTTTAGTGCGCCTCGGGGGAAGGAGGAAGGGGTTGTGCAGGAGAGGGAAGAAAAGGAGAAATAAGATGGGGAAGAAAGGGACATTTGAAAAAAGGGAGTTATGGCTGGGATGGAAGAGTAGCCACTTAACAGAGTCAAGAATGACATGCAAAATGTAAGCAATTCAGACCAGAGCACAAAAAAGAAGTGTGTTTTTCTGACCGGGCACGATGGTTCATGCCTGTAATCCCAGCACTTTGGGAGGCTAAGGTGGGCAGATCACCCGAGGTCAGGAGTTCAAGACCAACCTGGCCAACACAGTGAAACCCATCTCTACTAAAAATACAAAAATTAGCCAGGTGTGGTGCCCAGCACCTGTAATCCCAGCTACTGGGAGGCTGAGTCAGGAGAATGAATTACTTGAGCGTGGGAGGCAGACGTTGCAGTGAGCCAAGATCAAGCCACTGCACTCCAGTCTGCATGACAGAGCAAGACTCCATCTTAAAATAAAATAAAATTAAATTAAAAAAGCAGTGTGCTTTTCTGTGAAAACTGTTTTTATTTCCTGTCTTAGGTTTGCGACACTTAAGAATGAAATTATTTTATTATTAAAATTTGCAACACTTAAGAGTAAAATAAAAGAATAATGCTGCCTGTGTGCACGCGCGCGCGCGCACACACACACACACGCACCCACACACACACCCACAGTGACCTCCTTCAGGAAGAAGTGTCCCAGGCCCAGCCCCTCAGCTCTGACCCCTCCTGGCTGCCCCTGAAAGTTGCCCGTGCAGGGTAGACAGCAGCACCTCAGCTGCAGCAGGCACTCCTGCGGGCAAAGCCATCCACAGACCCCACCTCTGCTTCCTCCCTGACCGATGCACTGGTCCTCTTTGGGACTCCAGCTTTTCTGGTTTTGGTCATTACAAGTGGTAGGGATATTCAGTCTCTGGCCAGCTTATCACGTCACTGTGGGAGATACATTTGCATTAGTGCTCAAACTCCAGTGGTTCCAAGTTCTCATTTTCCTGCCCAAACAGGGACATGCCACCCATCAGAGTATCTTCTGTCCCCAAAAGATTCCACATGTGTCCACAAAGGCATCTATAGCTATTGTGATTGCAGACCTACCTTCCTGTTCTTCTCCTTCTTCACCTCCCACTTGTCAATTTCCACTGCCTAAAAACTACATGTGGCACCAGCCTCTCTGCCAAGGAGAACCCCAATGTCCCCGTTCTCCCCAAATTAAGAATCCTCAGGGAGTCAGGACTGCCCTGGCTTACAAGTCCCTGCAGGGAAATTGCAGCCTCAGCCCAAACCAACCCAGCTATTCTGAGGACCCTCAGCTCTAAAGCATCTACTGAGCCTCAGATCCTTGCATGGCTCCTCCAGACCGAGTCCATCAACTTTTGGCTTACACCCCTTCGACACGGGGGTTCAAATCATCCAAAGGGTCAGATAGGAAAGACAATCCCTCAACCCCGATCTCTCTTCCCCATCTTCTTGCCCTTTAACTCTCAATCAAAATGCATTTTGGGAGGCCGAGGCAGGAGTTGGAGGCCGAGGTCAGGAGTTCAAGACCAGCGTGGCCAACATGGTGAAACCCCGTCTCTACTAAAAGTACAAAAATTAGCCGGGTGTCATGGCATGTGCCTGTAATTCCAGCTACTTAGGAGGCTGGAGCAAGAGAATCACTTGAATTCGGGAAGCAGAGGTTGCAGTGAGCTGAGATGGCATCACTGCACTCCAGCCTGGGCAACAGAGGGAGACTCCATCACAAAACAAACAAACAAACAAACAAAACACCACCAGTCTTCTTCCTGCTTTGCTGCCAATTACCTCCTTGTCCATCAGCAGGCCATCAGTAGGCTGGGGTAGAGGGAACACTGTCAGCCTCAGAATCCCAGTTCAGTCAAACCAAAATGCTGGGATTGAAATGCCCAGAGCCCCAGAAAGGACCTAGAAGCTACACTAGGTGAAGATGACCCAAGCTGACGGCAAAAGAGTTAAGGATTCTGCAAAGTTCATTACCACCAATAAGAAGAGGGGATAGAAAAGGCAGGAGTCAGATCCATGAGGTAGAGGCTGAACTCTCCTCATTCAGAAACTCCTTTGACTCCTCATCTCACACTCACACCCACACGTGTACACATATATATACACATGTGTACTCATACATATACACACATGTACATAGCAGCCAAGGGTGCACGGGCAGCCACTAAAGAATAGCCCAATGCACTGGATAATTATGAAGGGGTGATGAGCGCCTCCCTTTCTTAGAGTTGACCACCCTTTCGGGTCCTCAGCCCAACCTGACCTGAAAGGCCCAGAAAAGAGTATGTACCACAGAGCAGGAGGTGAGAGGTTGCAGTGGGTCTGTTTCTTGCTGCCTGTTTTTTTTTTTTTCGAAAGGAAGCAGAGAGAGCAAGAGGTTGTGCAGACTTCATTCAGCCATTACCTTTGAGGTCTCCAGGAGCCCAACTCCCTCTTCGGGGGTATGGATGTGAGAGAGGCTCTGTCATAATCCAGGAGCAGGGGAGGCCCCCAGTTCACCACAAGAAGCCTAGAGCAGAGCCCTGCCCCCATTTCTGCCTCGAGATTTGTCACGCCTCTACAACCAGTTTCAGTTACCTCCATGTTTTTCCAACTTCCCTGCATGGCCCCTCATTTCAGAGCTTCTGAATAGTCCTCACGCTTATTTTTTCCAAGAAAAAAAGAAAAGAACATACCTAATGGGCTCCAAGTGAGTAAAAATCAATGGCTGAGAAAAGAAGCAAAGACGTTGGTGGAGTGTTTGCAACCAGGCTGAAATGAAAGCAAATTATTTTGTATCCCAAGAGCAGCCAATCCTTAATAAGAAGCTGTGGCCTTTTGGGTTGGCCCTCAAGCTGATGCTAAGCACTCTGCCCTTGAACCGCTGGATGGTTCCCCTCCTTTTTCACTGACTGGGTAATGACAGCTTCTCTGCCAAGGGCTGCAATTTTACTTCCAAACTGCTTTGTATATTTTTCTGAAACACAGAAGATGGGTGTCCAGAGTGCTTGCTGAAACAAGGAGCGGTTCACACTCAGCTCAGCAGCACTAAAACACACGAGTAAGGACAGCAGAGCAGCAGAGGCCATGCCTTTTCTGGACCCAGGGTAAGTCTTGAGCCATGGGGCCTTGCGTTGGATGGGAGACACAGAGCCAATTCCCAGTGTCAGGGGTGGAGAACTGAGACACCCCTGCTGTTGATCCCAGATGCACAGCCCCTCTGGCCAGGGCGCTTGACTGAGCATCCTTTCCAGGTGCAGATGAGCCCTGCTCTCTTCTGGAACACCCCTGACAAGTCTCCTGTCCACCTTGGCTAAAGGGAAGCCTACCTGCAAAACATGAAGGTCATCTGTTGAGTTAGATTCAAAGTGAGGGCTAAGCCAGGGCGCTCCAGCCAGGGGAGATGATGTGGCAGTTTATGGTGCTAAAAAGAAAGTTGCTTCCTAGCCCAGCATGAGGCAGGCAAGGTCCCAAAGTGATCCTTGGGACCCTTTATCCACGCCCAAGAGATGAGTATGGAAGGCTACCTCCTGCAAGGCCCAGCAAGGGTCTGTTTCAAAAGTAATTTAAAGGACCAAAGTAATTGACTTTCTATTAGCTTCCTTGAGGGACTGTTTCATTCCATCGACCTTCAGTCATATGCAGACGTAATGTCTAACTCAGCGAGGCAAGAACAATTAGCAAGGTCTCGAATTATGTTTCTCTTGTGCCGTCTATTATAGTGACCCATGTTAGAAGCTAGGACAACCGCTTCACAAGAGCTGTTAACAAGGCCCTGAACGTTAAAACCTTAAATCACCCAAGGGAGACAAGCTCTGCAAACACACTTTTGGGTGCTAACAGCTCTAATTAAGAAGGTGCTGCCTTGTGCAATGGACTTTTAAAAAGGAGGTCACCTGAAAATATAAATCAGGATTCTTAAGCAATTCTAGACAACTTTTCAGCCCCTGTTCTGGGTGCAGTGATGGAATCAAAGATACATTAGACAATATCCATGACTCTAGAGCTCATACTCTGCGAACAAAAGAAGACAGGAGGCAAGTGATTACAATATATGGCAGGTTACAGTAGGCATCATTATAGTAAAAATCAGAGCCCTATAGCCTTGTGGTTCAGATGGTTTCAAGAGGGGGCCACCTGGACTAGGCCTTAGACAAGACAATTCTCAGGTGAATTGATCTGAGGACCACACTTTGAGGATCACTGTATTACAGAATACCCTGCAAGTGAGAGGAACTCACCACAAACTGACTTAAGCAAAGAAACTTGTGAGCAAGTCGTTGGCTTGTAACTGAAAATTTCAGAGTAAGCGTAACTGAAAATTTCAGAGTAAGTGTTGGCTTCAGGCACAGCTGGAACCAGGGGTGTAAACAATGTCATCAGCACTTAGTCACTTTCTCCATTGCCAAGCTTCGTTTTCTTCTCAGTTGTTGTATCCTCAGGAGAGCTGTTTGTGTCTAGTGTCCCTGGGATTTCAAACTGACAATATTAGTATTATTAGTATTTAGTAGAGATGGGGATTCTCTACTTTAATACTAATACTTTAGTATTACCAGTAATCCCCCCCCCAAAAAAAGGGAAATTTGCTGTCTCAGCAGTTTCAAAGGAATTCCAGAACTGTGTTTCTAACGATCTGACATCAACCAAATGCCCCTATCTGGCCCAGCTGAGAAGACTGAATGTTATCACTGGCCAATACATCGATGGCCTGCCACCTACTGAACTCCCTCTAAAAACCAGGGTGTGAGTGGGTTTCCCCACTAAAACAGTAAAAGACAGAATGGATTTGTGGCAGGTAAAAACAACAGAGGTACTCCAGGTGGATAGCAACCTAGTCCCAAAAGATGGCAAACAAAGAAATTTGGATATCTTGGATATCATCAACAGGATCAAGAAACAGTTTTAAGGCCTTCTCTTCTTTTAGGTACTATTCAAAGGCCCAAGGATACAGACATAGAAGGCACTCAGAGAGGTGAGTTTATTACTGATTCATCACGGAGCAGCTACACTCTGCTAGACACTTTTTTAAGGAGGGGAATTTTTGATGAATAAAATGGACAAAGATCCCTGCCCTTAAGAAACTTACATCCTAATGGTTATAAAAACAGCAATCAGCCAGGCACGGTGGCTCAAGCCTGTAATCCCAGCACTTTGGGAGGCCGAGGTGGGTGGATCACCTGAGGTTGGGAGTTCAAGACCGGCCTGACCAACATAGAGAAACCCCATCTCTACTAAAAATAAAAAATTCGCAGGGCGTGGTGGCACATGCCTGTAATCCCAGCTACTCGGGAGGTTGAGGCAGGAGAATCGCTTGAACCTGGGAGTCAGATGTTGCAGTGAGCCGAGATAGTGCCATTGCACTCCAGCCTGGGCAACAAGAGCAAAACTCCATCTAAACAAACAAACAAACAAACAAAAAGCCAAAAAACAAAACCCAGCAATCACTAGTACAACTTCTACCAAGCACTTACTAAGCATTAGGAATTGTTATTATTTCATTATACCCTTTACAGCAATTCTTCCAGGTGTATTTTTTTTCATTAGTTTTACACACAGAGAAACTGAGATTTAGAAGAGGTAAGAGTCCTACTGCAACCTGAGATCAAACTCAGAGCCAGGACTGTCACAGTCTAAAGCCTAGGTACCTAACCAGTACACAATATGGCCTCGCTTCAGAGACCTGGTTGGGTAATTAGAAGAAACTCCAGGGAAAAGACAGAACAACACATTACACATATAGGAAATATAAGATGAAGAAAAGAGGCAATCTTCAGACACTGGGGCCATCTGGGAATTTCTTGCATAGGAGATAGCACTTAAGCTGTCTAGGAAGAAAAAGTATTATTCAGAAAAAAACGGACATAGAAGAAAGCAATTCGCATAGGGGAGTAGCATAACGGGAAGGCGGGAAGATACTGTGCGGTGGTGTTTAGTAGGGAGAGAGAGGAAGAAAGAGACTGGGGTTTTGCATGTGGTCAGAGCCAAGAACCAACTTCAGAATTCCTTTTATGTGTCAATGGTTCTAAACCAGATGTCTATCAAAATCACCTTGGGAGATTTTCTGAATATATAAGTGCTGGGCCCTAATCACCAACTATCTGATGACATAGGTCTGAGGTGGAGCTCAGGCATGGATATTTTAAAATAAAGCTTTCAAGGTAATTTGACATGTGTCCAAATTTGGGAGCCACTACTGCAGAAAACAGGGCTCACTGATGGTCTCAACAGAGAGGTGATGTGATATTTATAATATTGTTTTCCAAAATCCATTCTCAAAAGCAATAAAATTACAAAGTTTTAAGACATTTCTGTAACAAAGATGGGATACATCACTGGTCTCTCTCATTGTTACTGCAGGATACCAGATGAAGGCAAGACTGCTCAAGGGCCTTTTCAATGCTAATGAGCATTGTAAATCCTTAAGAGTGGGATATGATTTGCAGCATTTCCCAACAGAAGCTCCCCCCTCCTTTATTTCAAGAATTCACTGTTGGGATTTATGTTTTACAGAACACACTTTGGAAAATCTGCCATTAGGTTGAGTCATCTGGTGATTAAAAAGGGGCTTGGATTAGAAATAAGAATTGGAAAAGAAAGGACACTGTGCCCTGGTTTTCCTGGACTCTTGCTTTGCAGAATCAGCATGCGCCTCATAAGCTGTTCCCCTCTCTCCAACATACAAACACACACACATTGCCTGAGCCCAAAGGGATCAGGACAGGATCAATACTGACAGCAGCTCCGTGAGTCCCACTTTCCTTCCATGGGCACAGATTAGGTCCAGCATTCCCATTGAGGTGCTGTTTGTGTTTCCCTGCCTGGCACCCCAGGTTCCTGAAGCTGTGTCCTGCACCGCAGCCTGCTGAGCTGGGGCCTTATTTCCAGGTGGGGATGCCGCCAGTCCTACCCCACGGGGATGAGTTCTATAGCTTGTGTTCCTACCCATGAAGAAAAGGGTACACATTTGTTTCTAATCCTAGTCTACCTTGACAGAAAGGAGAAAGTGAGCCAGGATCAGCAGAGACAGAACCTGGGGAAACTGACTCCAAGCCCAGGGGAGTGCGGAATGAGTGGGGAAAATCGCGTGAGCTTTGGAACCAGGCAGACCTGGTGCTTCACATTCCTGAGTGTCTGTGTACCCATATATATCAATATGGCTGGTCATCCAAGGGGACTTATTTTTTTTTAAGAAAATAGTTTTCTAGATCCCACATGAGACCTCCTGAATTAGAACCCCTAGGAGAGGGGCGTGGTTCAGGGGAATGGGCACATGCTGACCTATGTGTTTCAGAAGGGCAAACAGTAGCTTCAGGTTTCTCAAACTTGCCTGACCATAAGGGTATTTTAAGCACTTAATAAAAATTCTAATATTCTGGAGTCTCTCTTAGAGGTTTTGATTTTGTGGATCTGGGATGAGGCCTGGGAAGCTGCATTTTTAATAGCCTCTGGTAATTCTTCTAATCAAGTGGAATTTGGGAAACATATTTATAAGCTATTTCAGGGATTCTTACACCTAGCTGCATATTAAAATTACTGGAGGTGCTTTAAAAACTCCCAATGCCCAGGTTTCACCAGAATAATCTGTAAGAATGGGGTCCAGGTATCAGTCTTTTTTAAGATCTCCAGGTGGTTCGAATGAGCTGCTCGCCTACCTCATAATGTTGGATGAAGGCTTACATGAGATCACATAAATAAAATAATTAGTGCTGTGTCTGCCAAATACTAAACACCCAATAAATATGTGATCACTATTTCAGGTGAAGTAAAATGAAATAAAAGCATCTTAAATTTTTTAAATTTAAAAGCTTTGGGTTTTCTTTAATAATTCAAATATACAGTAAAGTAGGGAGAGTAATATAACCAGTATCCATATGACCAATAGTCAGAATTTTAAAATATGAATGTTGTGTTATATTTTCTTCAGGTATTTTTTAATGAAAAAAATTGAGATGTCTTATATCTCTCTTTCTCATCCCAGAGGCAATCGCTCTATTGAAATTTGTTTTCATTGTTATTGTCCTTTTTACAAATACCTCTATACTTTCCCACAATCCACACACAGTATTGTTTTACATGTTTTGTAAATGTGCATAAATGACATGTCCTTGGTGTCAATTCAGATTTCCTTTTGGGTCAGTACTTTTGTGAAATTCATACATATCGAGGCTTATAGATCAATTTCATATACTATCATTACTGTTAAATCCAGCATCTGCATATACCACCCTTGATTTAGCCATTTTCCGTCTGATGAAAATTGTTTCCAATTGTCACTACTGAAAACACCACAACAATGGAAATCCTGATACACATTCTACTGTGTACCCGAGTAAGAAATTCTATTCAGTATGATTCCAGGAGTAAAAAGTTGGGGTCCTAGGATATGTGTATCTTCATCTTCACGTGTATTAATGAGTTGCTTTAAAAAGTGTCTGTAACAAACGTCCTAGCCCCTCTAGAGTGTATGTGACAGATCCCATTATCCCACATCCTCACCAACATTTGGTGTTAGTGGATGTTACATTCAATAGAAACAAACTCTGGTTGATTCAAGGAGGGAAAAAAATATGTAAAGGACTTTGGAAGATTTATAGAACCATTACACAGGGGGACTGAGGCACTAGATTTAGCGCTACACAGTCAGGTATGACATGCAAAATCCAGTCCAGTGAGGATACCAATACTAGGCTGCCATCAACTCCAGATCACTGCCGCTATACCACCGACACTCTCAACAGTGCATGTCCTGTTCGTGACCTTGCTGTGGGTCCAGCACCATCATTACCCCTTGGAAGAGTTATTCACAGTCAGCAGCCTCTGACTGGTGCAGTCCAGGTCACATGCCCATGCCCTAAGCTTCAAGAGAAGCTGGAACCACTAGCATCTGGCATTTCAGCTTTTTAGAAGAAGGCTGGTTTTATCTCCAAGCGAGGGAATTCCCCAATCATAAGAAGTGGGTTTAGATGCTACGTGGACAAGTTTGACAAATATCCACTATAATGACACTCTGATGAGCATGAAAAAAAATATGCTGCTCTTGGTTTAGTTTGCATTTTCTTATTATTATGGAGGTTAAACATCTTTTTTCAAATTTTTGTTGGCCATTTGGGTTTCCTCTTCTAGATATCATTTCTCATATATTTTGTCCATATTTTTTACTGAATTTTTTGCTATTTCATATTGATTTGTAGTTGCTTGTATATTTTCGGTAATTATCTTTTGTCAGTTATATAGGTAGCAATTATATTCTTTTGTTGTGTGGCTTGTATTCTCACTCTATTTTACAGCATTTTCTGTTGTGCGGAAGATTTGAATTTTAATATTGCTGAATTTATCAATTCTTGCCTTTAAGATTTGCACTTTTTGGTCCTGCTCAAGAAGTTGTTTCATACATCAAAATCTGAAAGGCATTCTCCTATATTGTCTCTAACAATTTTATAAAAGTTTTGATTTTTAAATTTAGGTCTTTATCTGGAATTTATTTGTGCAGATGGGATAAGATGGGGATTTAAATTTGTGCATATATATTTTTCCCCACATACAGTCAATTTCTTTTCCCCTAATGATTTGGAAAACCTCAGTTAACACTGTGCTACTAAATTTCTTTTTGTCAGCTTGTAAAGCCTCTATTGCAGAGCTATGCTACCAAATATGATAGGTAGCCATGAGTCACATGTGGCTATTTAATCTTAAATTAATTAATATTAAATAATATCAAACATTTTATTTTTTAGATACACAAGCCACATTTCAAGTTCTTAGTAGCCCCATGTAGGCAATGGTTTCCATACTGGACATCTTTACATATGAGATTGAGAATTCTTGTCATTGCAAAAAGTTCTACTCAATGATTCTATAGTATTAGCCACTTTGCTCAACTCTGGTCTTATTATAAACTTAAAAATATTGCCATGGCTTTGTAAGTATTGATACTAGATAGGGAAAATCCTTTTTACAAGTCCCTCTTCCTTATTAGACTTCAAAATTGGCTTAGTTACCCCTAAACATATATACTTCAAAATGAATTTTACAATCAATTTGTAATGTTCTGTGAAAAGTACTATATAAATGTTTTAAATAATTTTATTGAATTCATAGATTGTGATCCGATGAAGTCACATATTTATGATATTAGGCCTTCCCATTCATGACCATGGTATATTTCTGGGTTTACTCGGGCTTTTATGCCCTTTTAATAAAGTTTTATAATTTTCTCCATATTTTTCTCTGCATATATTTTATGATGTTTACTCCTTGTTATCTTATAGTTCTTGTGGTTGTTATGAATTTATTTTTTAAATAAAATACATTATCTAATTGGTGTAGAATTCTTTACTGTTTGATCTTATATCCATCACTTTTATACCTACTCTAATTTTTCAGTAGATTCTCATATTTTCATACAATCATTTGAGATATCTGTAAATAATACAATTTTTCTTTCTAACCCTTATATCTCGTTTCTTTATTTTGTCTTTGAGCATTGGCCATGCCCTTCAGTATATATTGCATAGTAACAGTAAGGAAAGAACACCCTGGAATTTATCTCTGAGTTTAATGGGCTCACTTCTAAGTACCATTAGTAAATATATTTTAGACAGACACTCTTTATCATGTTAAAGAAGATTCCTTTCTTTCTTAGTGTGCTATGATATATTTTAGTCATCAATAGATTTTCAAATTTCTTAAAAACTCTATTTCAGCACCCCTTGAGACAACTGTGTGATATTTCAAATTCAAATCTGTAATATGGTTAATTAGATTATTAGTTTCCATTGCTAAGCCAACTTTGGACCCTTAGGAAAAACCTGATTTTTATTTCATTTTTTATATTTTCAAAATTATTTGTGACTGTATTTAAGACTTTTTCATCTGGGTTCTTGAATGAGATTGGGTAATAACTTTCTTATACTATCGTTGTCAGATTTTCGCTCTCTAAAAATGTTAAAAATTATTTGGGAGTTTAAAGTAGATTTTTCCAATTCTGTGAAGAAAGTCATTGGTAGCTTGATGGGGATGGCATTGAATCTATAAATTACCTTGGGCAATATGGCCATTTTCATGATATTGATTCTTCCTACCCATGAGCATGGAATGTTCTTCCATTTGTTTGTATCCTCTTTTATTTCATTCAGCAGTAGTTTGTAGTTCATTGCAGAAGTCAGTGTGGCGATTCCTCAGGGATCTAGAACTAGAAATACCATTTGACCCAGCCATCCCATTACTGGGTATATACCCAAAGGACTATAAATCATGCTGCTATAAAGACACATGCACAAGTATGTTTATTGCGGCACTATTCACAATAGCAAAGACTTGGAACCAACCCAAATGTCCAACAATGATAGACTGGATTAAGAAAATGTGGCACATATACACCATGGAATACTATGCAGCCATAAAAAAGCATGAGTTCATGTCCTTTGTAGGGACATGGATGAAGCTGGAAACCATCATTCTCAGCAAACTATCACAAGGACAAAAAACCAAACACTGCATGTTCTCACTCATAGGTGGGAATTGAACAATGAGAACACATGGACACAGGAAGGGGAACATCACACACTGGGACCTGTTGTGAGTGGGGGGAGGGGGGAGGGATAGCATTAGGAGATATAACTAATGTTAAATGATGAGTTAATGGGTGCAGCACACCAACATGACACATGTATACATAAGTAACTAACCTGCATGTTGTGTACATGTACCCTAAAACTTAAAGTGTAATAAAAAAAATTATTTGGGAGTTTTCCTCCTTTTTTCACCCAAAGATATTTGGATGATATGAGAATTATCTCTTCCTTGATAATCTTTGATGATTATTTGTTCATGTCAGATTTTCTTTTGTCCTCTAGAGAGTACATTTTGAAAACTCAAATCAATTTTTCAAAGATGAGGTAGTTTGTCCATAAGTTTGTAGACCAAGGAGACACAGTTTGTATTACCTATGCCTAAACAGACACAGATGGAAACACTAGAAAGAGGGAACTAAGTAAAGGAGCAAGGTAGGAGTAGAATTTGGGAACGAAACCCACCAGTCAAGAGATTGGCCTTTGCAGAGAGGGTGCCTCTCTGGGCAAAGAGAAGGACATCAGCTGACCCAGCCCTCAGCTAGCTAGGTCAGGTCTTCTTTGGAGTATGGGAAAGAGAATAGGGAATGATCAGAGAAAGAAGGATCTAGGATTTGCAGATATATAAAGGGTTTAAAGTAAATTCTAGCAAGAAAAAGCATCAAGGCCCAATTTAGGTCAAACAGCCACACCTATGAAAGCTCCGAATCGCTCTTTCCTAGATACGGCAGGATTCTGTGATTTCAGAACTAAATGACAGAAGTTTTGAAAAATGTTTTAAAGGCCAAATATTTGAAATCCCCAAATTCCAGTAGCCTTATGTGTCAAAAGTAGAAACTACTCTGATATAGCAGCTTGATGTAGGGCCAAATAAGATATAGAAATGAGTGCAAACCCCAACTTTGTCACTCCCTAGCTGGGCAACCTTGGGCTAATCAATTAACCTCTTTGGATCTTAGTTTCTTCATAAATGAAGTATAGTAACCACTTTATCAGGCTATAGAGAGAACTAAATGAGTGAACATATGCAAGGTATTTAGCTGTTGTCAGGTACAAGGTAAGCACTGAATAAATGGCTCTCATTATTATTATAAGTCAGGGTTTAAGCCACCTGTATTTTCCCTCTGAGCCCTAATTTGTATATGAAACAGGTGTCCTGATAAGGTTCAAGAGGAACAGTGAGTAATTCAATGTTTTTGCAGTTTTGCCCGTTGAGTAAAACTTGGAAAGCTTCATTTCCCCAGGAGACTCACGGGAGCCTGCTGGATCTTGCCAATGGTTAAAGGGCTGTCACAAGAAGGAAGGAGAACATTGATTCTCAGTGGCTGGAATGGATGAATAACAGCTTCAGGGAAGCAGACAGAGCTCCATACATCCTTCTGCTATGTGGGCCTGTTTCCTGGACTCCCATCCCTGCTTTTGCATTGTCCCCAGGGCTTTCATTCTTGTCTTTCTTCTCCAGGGTCACAGTGAACTCTTCTGGAGCTTCTCAGCCTGACCTTGGGGCTGACCACAGAATGGGATGAGGTAGCTTCAGTTCTCTACTTCTTGATTTTCCTCAAAGACATGGCTATGAATCCTTTCTTTTTTAAGAGTTCAATAAATAATTTCAGAAATTTACAGGGGAAGAGAATAAGTTCCTGGAATCGTATAAATTTGGTAGAGACCTGGCCCTTTATCTGTTAAGTCCTGACTTTCTATGAAAGATGGTAACTAGTGGCCATGCTGGCTTCCTATTCACTACTTTTATTCCTGAGAATAGATTTTATGAGATCATCTGCTTCTTCCTCCATGAAAAGCCATCTTCCTAGATAGTAAGCTTTAAAAGGCCATCAGGGAAGAGCAATGTATGTCCTCTTGTGTTTAGGTGGATAATTTGCCTTGCTGAGCCCTCCAAGCTGAATCACCACTTCTCTCTGGCCCTCTGCACTTTTTGAGCATTTTCTCAGACCTCCCTGGCATGTTAAAGAGTCCTCCTTGCCAGTTTTCTTGAGAAATGAAGAAGCAATGAGCCACCCATATGGAGTTAGACTGAAATTTTTTTCAGGGTTGAAATAAAGGGAATTCAAATGAAGAAAGACTGCTGACTGCTCATGTTCCTAAGCCATAGGGCTCTATCCCAGCCCTCTACCCAATAGGGTATAGAGGAGCTAGAGAAAGTCTCCCCTGAAAACACACAGCAGCCATCCAGTTTCATCAAGGGCCCTGCACAGGCATATCATCAAATAATTAGAAACATTGCTTTTCTGCATAAAATTGTATTCTTGACAGGAAAGTGTTGGGGTCTCCAGTGCTAAAGTCTCACCTCCTAGGCTTTGTCACCATGGATCTGACTGCTTTGGTGGGAATGTGGGGTCGCACCAAACTGCTTTCTCAGAGAAGTGTAAATTGGACCCAGTCATGGGCCTTGGGCTCTTGCATCTCAAAGGATAGTTTGAGTTTGCCCTTGAGCTCAGAATGTCTTCTTGGTTTTAAACTAAACTTGTTTTGGATCTTCAATCTCGATTCCTCACTGTCTAGGAATACTGTTTTCTACATTCTTTGGGTCTGACCCCAAAAGTTCAGGAATGCCTGCCTTTTGACATATTCACTTGGACAACTACCTCATGGGCACAGGGTCTGAGGCAAATCTAGTCTTCCTTATAGAAGACAAACATGTCTACGTTACTTCTGGTGAAACGCCAGCCTTGCTCCCTTCAGGGTTACTTTTGAAAGAGGTATAAATCACCCAGATCTATAGAAAATGTCTGTAGTTCTGAACATCCCTAGCTGGTCCTATATTTTAACTACCAAAAACAATCTCAATTGTCCCTTGGGAGATGTAGCTTCTCGACTAATGGGCAATGAATGAAGCAGTCCTTGCATATGGTGTCTGGCAAATGTATCTAGAAAGATATGCCCCCCCATTTGGAAAACACCCATCCACAATGAAGTGAGAAATAAAAATAAAGGGCATCTTATAAAATGATTACCTTGTCATTTAAGTCAGCAGCGGTGATGCCACGATAGAAACCAGCAGTTGTGCCACATTGTTTTATCACTCTAATTACATCAAGAACACACTAACTGTCTGGTAGAGATAAGATTAAGGGAAGCAGAGCCCTTATGAAATTTCCAATAGACAGCACCTGGATTTATGGACTGGTTTTGTGTTTGGACATTAAGTTCAATTACTTTTCTTTAGCTCTGAAGAGTTCTGTCGCCAAAGAAATATCAGCTGGTTGATCCTTCATCACCCAGCCCAGCACCCACCCTCTCATCAGGCCGGTGCTCATCTGCCCAGACAAGGCAGGGTCTCCCTCTAGGGAACAGAGACTGTTTGTTTTCCTTTCCTCTGCCGCCTCCTCCTTTTTTTTTTTTTTTTTTCTCCTATCTTCCTGGAGTCTGAGCAGAAGAGTCACAGCCCTTCTTGCTGACTGAGAGGCTCAGGATCAAAGGATAATGAAATCATGAATGTCAGTGATAAAAGGGCTCTTTGAGATCATCTAATCTGGCCTCTTCACTCTACACTGGTGGAGACTAAGATTCATAGGTGATTGCCCAAATCCCACGGCTGGAGCTGCAACCAGAACTTAGGTTTCTAGGCTCCTGCAGAAATATTAAATTCACTTTTGTCTCTCACACCAAACCTCTGCCCTTCCTTGGCTCATCCCCTGTGTGGGTTCAGCCACCCCTGCCCCAGAATCTGTGCCTGCCTTTAAAAGCTGATAACAACAGGTGAAAAGGGAAGTATAGGTCTTGAACTTCCATTCTCTGCTTCCTTTACCTCCTCCATGTGGCTTTCTCAGTTCCTCTCTTCTCCTCCTTTTACTTCCTCTGAGATGAAGGGAAAGATGGAAAATTTTGGCTGCTGTGGCTCCTTCCTCTCTCCCTCCCTTTCTTCCTTTTTGCTGAAGTTGGAGAGACCAAAAATAATTTGGGAACAGCCCAGGTAGCCAAACACAGATCTTCTCCAATCAGACTGCACAACTGAATCAGCCTGACAACTTTTAAAATCACAGATTCTTGGGTCCCTCCTCGGTCTACTAATAAGAAATCACTGGGAATTAATGTATATGTAGTTTGTTTCCTATGAGCCTCTTGTGTGGCCAGCCCAACACCAGTGAATTGATCACAGTTTGGAAATTGTGGAGACTGGAGTGTATAATATAGAAGTTGGCAATAAAAAAAAATCCCAGCTGCAGCTCATGTGCTTCATTGTGGCCATGAACAAGTAACTTAACCTTCCTGAGACTTAGTTACTCTATGGGAAAAATGGGCTTTTGGGCAAGGATAAATCACAATATGTATACATACTTATGTACACATAATTGTTACATAATATGTATACAATAGTCTTACCTGTGCTATACCACACATAACAATACATGGCCAACAAATGGCAGCTGTTTGTATCCAGGACACTCTAGATCTTCCGGTTACCACCCCATAGCTAAGTCCCTCCCAGGATGTCTCCTTCCTGTCCTCTTTGTGTAGGCCCTGGGTATTGAAGGACCATCTTCCAGTGTCTGTTGTCAGTGAAAATCATAAATCAGTAAGATAACGGTGTTTCTGACCTTGAAAGCAGAATCCTTGTGACTTGCCTGTGAAGTATGTTCAATTTCTTGTTCTAGTCCGTAAACACATGAGCTAATATATACAAACAAGATCCTGGACATTGTGGCTGGATTCTACCCTTACCCGGTCCTGGACTGGGATACCCCCAAAGGGGTTTTATTCATTTGGAAAGCCAGGCAAATAGAAAAGGGATCTAAAAGGAAGAAAAATCCTTAGTTCCAACAGGAGAACCACTATAGGAGCCTCTGCGACCTCTCAGTGATTTAGATCTTCTGCTTTTTCTTTCCTTTCCCTACCAGCCATTCAATGTGTAATATATAAAAGGGGCCTCTATTGTTTATGATTCTTTCCTTCTTAACTCATTGCAATTTGCCTCTGCAATGCATTAAGGTCACCAATGACCTTCTAGTCACAAATTCAATAGCTTTACTATGATTTCATGGATATAAATTTGTTTCCTAAGAGATAGCACATTTTTTTCCCTAAATTAATTTAACAAACACTTATATAGGGCTTACAATGTGTCAGGCAATGTTCTGAGTACTTTTCAAATATGAATTTATTTGTTTTATACCACAACCCTATGAGACAGTCTCTTTTTATGGAGGACACCGAAGTGCAGAGAGATTAGGTAACTTGCCCAAGGTTATATAGCTAGTAAAGTGGCAGAGCTGGAATTTAATCCGATATTAAATGGTGTCGTATTGACTCTCAGAGCAAAGCCAACTCTGAACCCACACTTGATAAGGCTGGAGAGACTAGCCAGCTAACTATAAAGTTGTTGAACTTTTTCTTCCTGAGCTCAGGTATCTCTAAGAAGTGAGAAAGAAGCCCAATTCTTGCTCCATGGTGGTCACTGACATTATATTTGCTTCCTCTGCTGCACAATGCCATTGTCAACACTACTCCTCCCCCATATACGAGGTTGTCAGTCAGTCCTATTTTGAGCAGGCTTCAAAGGTGACCTCCACAAATCTCTTCTCTACTGACCACAAAAGAATCCCTTTGCAGGATTCAAGTCTACAGCATGTGGTGTAGAGTCTGCACAAGCATCTCAGAAGCATACCGCATCTCTAGTGCTGTAGATGAGCGGAGATTGGGTAACTGCCACTCACAGAATCTCCTCCTCCTCTGTCCCTTCAACCATAAGGAATCAAAGTCTCCCAAGTAACCTGGGCTGGTGGCACATGCCTGTAATCCCAACACTTTGGGAGGCTGAGGTGGGTGGATTGCTTGAGGTCAGGAGTTTGGGACCAGCCTGGCAAACATGGCAAAACCCCGCCTCTACTAAAAACACAAAAATTAGTCAGGTGTGGTGGCACATGCCTGTAATCCCAGCTACTCGGGAGGCTGAGGCAGGAGAATCACTTGAAACTGGGATGCGGAGGTTGCAGTGAGCCCAGATCGCACCACTGTACTCCAGCCTGGGTGAAAGAACGAGACTTCATCTCAAAACAAAAACAAAAACAGAAACAGAAACAGAAACAGAAACAAACAAACAAACAAAAAAAAAGTAGAGTGATCAACTCATCCCAGTTTACCCAGTGCTTTTCTGGCTTTAATCCTGAAAGTCCTGCATTTTAGGAACCCCCTCAGTTCTGGGGAAACTGGGATAAGCATTAATTAAAAATGCAAATTCAGAACTCTACCCCAGATCTCCTAAATATAAAGTCTGGTAATTATTACTGTAGTGGACTGTTTTTTTAGGGGTTTAGCCTGACATGTCTGGATTCTCATTCAAACTACCAGTGACCATCTGTATGACTTGGAGCCTATTAATCTCTTTAAGCTTTAGTCTCCTATCTGAAAGATAATAAAATGTCATAGTATTGTCATGAGGAATAATATTATGACATGGATAAAGAGCTTACACATAGTACTTGGAAAATTACAGGGAATCAATAAATATTACTCACATATCCATATAACCCATAGACATATTTCTCCTTCATTTGAGGCAGTATCAAGTTTCCATATAGCTGTGTATTAAATGAAATTTAAACACTCTGGAATCATCAAGGCGCAGGTGGTCTCCATAGATTCTTCCGAAACGCCTCACCAAAAAGCAATTTATTAGAACAGCACGCTATGTGCATTTTTTGTTGGCTTTTCTCAGTATCTGTCCTATGGTGCCATGCACTCTTTAAAGAAAAAAATCTAAGTAGAATTGAAACTCCTGGTCAACAGGAATCACCAAAGAGAAAGAATCTGTACTTCAAATACTAAACAATTGTAGACATAGAGAATGAGAGTACTCAGCTATTAGTATGTCAGTTCTGTCATCAAAAGAATTTTTAAAAGAAGAAGTTAAACACAGAATAGTCTAAGAGATCAATCAATGAGTGAGAAAGAAATAACGGAAAGAAGAAAGAGGAGGATGAATAGTAGGATGAGGAGGATTCAGGTGAGAATCAGAAAACATTATCCTGGGTAAAGGCTTCCTCACTGAGGTAGTAAGAACGATATCTGTAATGAACGCCAGAGCTACATTTGTGTTGTTTTGTTTTGAAACAGAGTCTAGCTCTGTTGCCCAGGCTGGAGTGCAGTGACGTGATCATAGCTCACTGAAGGCTTGAATTTCTAGGCTGAAGCGATCCTCCTGTCTTGCTATGTTGCCCAGGTTGGTCTCAAATTCCTGGCCTCAAGCGATCCTCCCTCCTCAGCCTCCCAAAGCACTGGGATTACTGACGTCAGCCACTGTGCCAGCCCCAGAGATACATTTTAAGTATATTTGTACATTGCACATTGTTTGCTGTCCGTATTTCTTGTATATAACTATAACTGTTAACTGTTAATACATTTTTCTGATTCATACCATATCATAGAGATTTTCTCAATTACTCTTCATGTTGTTATAAAGGCCATAGTTAAAATAATTGCTTTCTAAAAAATCACATTATGTATGTTTCTATTTATTCACTCTTCTCACACTGTTATTTATATACAGAGCTATGACCAACTTGGGAAAATCCTTGAAGGCAAGGTTTCATTTGCTTTTGTGCTTCCTGAGCTCAGCACAGGCTTTGGCATGTAGTAGGTACTTAATAATCCTAATGTATTCGATTTACTTGAGTTGAAAAGGAAGTCTGAATATTCTCTTCTAGTACCCAGAGTTGACAGACGGGTGCAGTGGGGAGGGGGTGATCTCATTTGCAATGGACGATCTGAACAGTCACCCCTTTCAGAAGATGCCAGAAAGACAAGAGAGATCGAAAACATTGACTGAAGGTAAATGTAAGTCCTCTGTGCAATTCTAACTGTGTGATTCAGGCATTCTTAGAACGTACACCCTCACACTGAAAAAAACAAATTAGATGACCTTTACTAAATGTGAGTTTGTAGTGTGCAGCCTTTCTGTCAGTTAATTTCTTGAACACACCATCTTCATTCATTATTTTAAAAGTCACAGAACTGAAATTCCCATGAATCTCAGAGAAAATGTGTGACTCTTACTAGTTTTGCAACTCTAGGCAAGTTTGGTGGTGTTTTCCTCATCTCCTGAAAAGGGATTATACTTATACCTACTCATGGGGTTATTGTGAGAATCAAGCAATATCAAGAATGTAAATATTTTAGCAAATAGCCTGGCCCACAGTGAGTGTTCAAACAATTGAAGAAGATGGAGGAGGAGGCTAGAGTGGGGAGGAGAAGGAGAAACTAGTGTCTAGAAAGATTAAATGAAGCATTTATATCACCCTGTTTGGATCTGGCACATAGTAGGTCCTCAATAAACGTTCGTTTCCTTCCACACCCTGTGGGTGTTCGGTGAGGTATTGCTGAACTGCTGAATAGTGATCCCTCAATCAATCAATAGCTGAATTAATGAATATTTGACTTGGAATTAAGCAGTTCTATTTTAGACAGTTTTCTGAGTAAGCAAGTTCTTTGGTGATTTTTTGACCTTACTATGTGAAACCTCCTCCAGACTGAAGGTTTCCAAATTTCTCTCTTCAAACTTCCCTGCAAGTTTTTCTATATGACACTTTAGGTTATAAATTTAATAAGTGATGCTGATATCTTGCATTGCCAGGTGATTAGAAGATTCTCTGAATAGACAGTACCAGTCCCTTTTCAGTGTTGCAGAGTGGGGCAAATATTCAGGAGCAGGGCCAGTCACTTGATAAAGCTCCAGGTGAGCCAAAGCTGAAAGGAATGGACAATCTTGAGGCTGGATATAATCCATGCAAGTGATGTTCAGAAAGCAAGCCTGAAGATGAAGGTGGCCACGTTCTGCCCACATGCAGCCTAAAAAGGAAGGTCCTTCCCAAATCCCTGCCCACCTTCCTTCTTCCCTGTATTCAATGAATATTTATTCCTGATATGCATGGCCCTCAGGATACAGTAGTGATAAGACATAGCTCCTGTCCTCATGCAGATCTCTAGTCTAGCTGTGCCTGCATCCTCAAGCCAAATGTATCTGTCACTGCCTCTAAACTCAGCTCTGAGCAGATGCTGTTCAGCTCATCTTCATGTCTTTTAAAAACATCTTTATATTTTGAAATAATTTTAGATTGACAGAAGCACTACAAAAACACTGCAAATAATTGACGTATACTTTTCACTCAAATTCCCCCAATTTTAAAATTTTACTACCGTGGCTTTATCATGTACATACAACATATTCTAAAGCCTTTGGGAGTAATTTGCAGACATGAGGCTCCTTTACATTTAAGTACTTCTGTATGTATTTTATCAATGCAAAGGCATTCTCTTATATAACCGTCGTACCATTCTCAAAACCAGCGAACTAATGTTAATGGAGTATTATCTAATTTACAGACCATAGCCAAATTTAGTCAATTATCCCACTAGTGTCCTTTGTAGCAAAAGAAAAAAAAATGGATCCAGAATCCAAACTAGGGACCCACATTGCTTTTAGTTGTTATGTCTTTTTAGTCTTCTTTAACCTGAAAGAGTTCCTCGATCTTTCTTTGTCTTTCATGACCTTCATATCTTTAAGAGCACAGGCCAGTTGTTTGGTAGATAGTCCCTCAATGCAGGGTTGTCTAATGTTTCTTTATGATTTGGTTCAAGTTGTGCATTTTTGGTGAAGTAGCATAGAAATGATGCTGTGTTCTCAGGACATCATATCAGGAGGCATGTAATAGACTATTGTCCCAGGATTGTGATGTTAACTTTGATCACTTGGCTAAGGTGGTATCTCTTAGCTGTCTCTACTACGAAGGTATGATTTTTCTTCTTGTAATTTTTAAATGCTTGGTAAAGAGGTACTCTGAGACTATGTAGACATTCTATTTCTCATCAAAATTTCACTAATTAAATTTAGCACCCATTAATGAGTCTTGCCTGAAAAAATTATTTCTCTAGGTGGTTGCCAAATGGTAATTTTCTAATTTCATCATTCTCTATTTATTACCTGGAATTCTACTGTAAGAAAAGAGCTTTCTGTTCTTCATTATTTATGTATACAGCAGGTCCTCGAATACCATCGTTTTGTTCAACATTGTTTTATTGTAACATTGATGAGAAAAAAACGATCGCTTCCCAGTGGGGCCACTGTGTGTGTGGAGTTTGCATTTTCTCCCCACATCTGCATGGGTTTTCTCTGGGTACTCTGGTTTCCTCCCACATCCTGAAGATGTACACATGAAGTTAGTTTGTCTATCTACACCATCCCAGTCTGAGAGAGTCTGGGTGTGGGTGTGAGTGTACCCTATGATGAGTCAGGAGGCCACCCCATCACAGGGTGCTCAAGGTTCCTTCCTTGCACTCTGAGCTGCTGGGATAGGGTCTGGTCATCCACAACCCTGAACCGGAATAATCAGGTAAATCATTATCTTACTTGTTTTTTATTAGTCTTTCTTAAATGCATGTATGGCTCACATTCACTCCAATGTTTAATATTACTTGTGTTTGGGGTCTTTAGAAGTTTGACAATGTTTCTGTGACTAGAAACATGCCATAAAAAATTAACTCTTGTTTATATCAATTAGCCTATAGTAAAATTGGTTTCATTACATGACGTTTTACCTAAAGTCACAATATCCAAGAATCTGTTGACATTGTTAAATGAGGGCTTAACATCGGTATGTGGGTGTGTCTAATACAATGTATAAATATACTGATACACATAAAAACATGCATATGCACACATACACACACACACACATCAGCACAAATCACCAAAAACATAGTGATTAAAACCACACAAATGGATTATCTTAAAGTTCTAGAAGTCAAAAGTACAGAGTCTTATTGGGCTAAACTCAAGGCATCAGCAGGCCTGCATGCCTTCTGCAGGCTCTAGGGAGAAGCCATTTCTTGCCTTTTTCAGCTCCCAGAGGCTGTCTACAGTCCTTGGCCCATGGCTCCCTTCGGGAAGTCACATCTCTCCAACCTTTGTCTTCATCATCACTTCTCCTTCTCTGACTCTCCTCCCTCCCTCTTTCACTTACAAGGACTCTTGTGAGTACATTGTTCCTGCCTGGATAATCCAGAAAAATCTCTTACTCAAAATCCTTAAATTGATCGTGTCTGCAAAGTCCCTTTTACCAGGTCAACATATTCACAAGTTCTAGGGATTAGGACATGGACAATTTGGGGGACCTTTATTCTGTCTCCTACAATCAGTACAGACTCATGAAGTCTTATTTTATTCAATGAATTTTAATCGGCTGCATTATTTATTTTGCCTCTCAAATTGTCCGAGATGTGGTCACTGGCAACTCTAATTTGGCCCCCTGCTCCTTTGTTCTTTTGACCTGCCCCATCATTCTTTGAGCACTTCCATGCTTTTTGGCACAAGATGTTCTAGATTCCACTTGTACCTTCCCTGCCCAGTCCTGGAATGAGCCATTTCCTGAGAAGCTCTGCTTTCTTTTATTGAAGAATAATACTTAGATGCAAAGATCTAGACATTTGGTATGTTCATTGCTACAGGGGTCTCTCATTGGACAAGGCTAGGAAATGTGTATATATATGTGCATGTTTTGTGAATATATATGTATATATACACACATGTGTATATGTATATGTAGATGTAAATATCCATATCTATTAACACACAGTTATACCCCCTGTGTTTATCTGTGTGTCTGTGTGTAGTTTGCATTTTCTCCCCTTGTCTGCATGGGGTTTCTCTGGGTACTCCGGTTTCCTCTCACATCCTGAAGATGTACACATGAAGTTAGTTGGCGTGTCTACATCATCTACTTATTTCTAAGTATATCTCTGTATATAAAAAGTTGTGAGTTCATGCTGATACTGCCAATTCCAATCCAACACCACAGGATTTATTCTAGCCTTCTCCATTTCCATATTTGTAACTCCCTTCTCTGACATTGAGAACTCTAGCTCTCATTATCCATAATATATTTTACATCTTTGTTCAACCTTAAAAATATTTACAGTAGTTTTTGCAATTGCTAGCCCATACTCCCGTGTAAACAGATCTTTTAAACTACAGTTCAGTATTTGTTTATGGTTCTTTATGTCATTAGCTGGAAGGTGTACAGTCAAAATATGGAATTCAAAGTTTCCTTGGGGTTAATTCTCCATCTCTGCATTCACTGCCATTGGGTCTCCATGCTCCTTTGATCTTGTTTTCCACAACATGAACGACCATTTCACTTCACCAAGCAAATGTTGATCCAAAACTACAAATCAATTGGAAAACCTTCCTGTTGGAGTCAGTCTGTGTGATAGCTTCCTTGCAGCCATTTTTATCTTAAATTGTTTTCTTTTCTCTGGGTCCCTCCAATCAAAATAAATGGAGCATAAGGGTATGACGGTGACCTCTCATCATTCTAAACTTCCATGGAGCCTTCCAGATAAAGCATGTAAAGCTTTGTAAAGTCAATGAAAACAACCCTCTGGTTAGAGAAACGTGGCAGACCATTAAAAGGATGAGCAAAGAGAAGCTGAAGCCGAAGCCATGCAATCACGTTCCTTGCAATTCTACCATTTTGGGTTCTCCCAATAGCAGTAATATTTTGTTTACATATGTATAATGTCTAGGATTTCTGCTTGATCTTTGCAACATCCATTGAGCATAAGGAGGTGGATATTACTTTTCCCTTCTTATCAAAGAGAAAATTGAGGTTCAGGTAGATTAAATAACTTACCGGGGCACCCTGCTTACTCTGTGGTCAGGACCCGAACAGAAATCTCCTGCGGAGAAATTTGTTTTTAATTTAAAAAGTTCTATTACAAAAGCACATTTTTTACTGTAACAAATTAAATAATTCAGAGTTCATAAATAAAAGTTAATAGTCTTTCCCCCCTCTCCCCACATGTCGCCAATGTTCACCGTGTAGGGTGAGTCCTTCTACACATTTAGCTTTCAAGAAATGTGTGAAGTCTTGAGACCCTCACAAACTCCAAGATTCCAAGAGTATCTGGTCCCTGTGAGATGAGGGAACCGAAACAAAAGATGCAATTCACGATGCCAATCTAATGCTCTGATGCATTGACTGTCTTTAGACCTGCTAGGGATGGATGCTCAAATTATAACTGTTGAAGAGAGAGGAGGTTCTACTCCCTGGAGTCCCCGTGGCCCTTGGGGACCATGATGGTTAACTTTATGTGTCAACTAGAGTGGGCTATGGGGGTGCCTCAATTAAACAATGTGTATGGGTGTGTATGTGGGTGAGGTTGTTTTTAGCATTTACATTGGTGGGCTTCCCTCCCCAGTGGGGTGGGCATCATCCAATCTGTTAAAAGCATGAATACAACAAAAGGTAGAGGTGGAAGAAGAAGGAATTGGCCTCTTTTCCTGCCTCACTGCTTGAGCTGGGACATTCTATCTCATCTTCTCTGGCTCTTGGGCTGGAACTTACATGATCAGCTCCTCTGGTTTTCAGACTTTTGGACTCATACTGAATTACAACACCAGGTTTCTTGGGTCTCCAGATCATGTCATGGGACTTCTCAGCCTCCATAATCATGTGCTTGCTCTCTCTCTCTCTCTGTCTTCCTCTGCATAACACTAACTAACATGGAAACATACAAATGTCTTCTCAGTTACTTCTGAGTCTCATTTTTACTGTTTCTAAAGTGGGAATCATGACCCAGTTGCACTCTAAATTCTTGTTAGCCGGATAAACCCATGATAAATAACCCACTAGCTATGTCCTTCTCAGGAAAATTTTACCTTCTTAATATATTCCCATACTGGGGAGGCCATGAATTGTTAGCAGTGTGCAAGAAGATGTGAAAGGCTTCCTCTTCCTCTTGGGGAGTATTCACCTTATTTGGGGAGCTGAACAGCATTGCCAACAACATCTGACTCTCAACTCACCATCCTTCCCCAGGAATCCTCATCTTGTTTTCTATCTGCACCTTCTTCAGCAGCCAGGACTCTCTTGGAGGGCTAGTGATATCCAGTTCTAGCCCTGGGTAACTCTGCTGGACTGTTCTGTCTCCAGGGAAGGTCCAGGCTCTTTCAACCTCTTTTAGGTTCCCATATTTAAAAGAAGCATGAATCAAGCACCATAGCTGCAGAAACTGATGTCTGTAATTCACTGTAGGGAATGAAGAACTGTCCAAGGACTTTTCTTCAGAAATTCATACAAAGCCTAGCAGTGGATATCAAATTCCTGCCCTCATCTCCCTTCAGTGGGTGTTTTCCAAGAATCAAGGAATCCATAGATTTGGGTTCTAGCCATCTCTGGCATGATTCCTTGAACAATTTGCTTCAGTCTCTGAGTCTCACTTTACCCATTTGTGACAGGGATCATTTTGACTGGATGAGATTTTCCTCTCTTCCAGTCCACACATGCCACACTTCCAAACTGAGACTCAGCCACTATTCAGATTTCACACAGCCTTTTCTCTCCCCACATGCCTTGACTAGAACTCAGGTCTTGAGCTCAGCCCCCATGCTCTTACTCATTAATAGTAGGGTTTCTCTTTGCTAATGGCCAGCCAGACCCTGGACCACCCTTCTTTGCTCACAAGAGGTCAGGCAATCTATTCTCCTCCTCTAATTAGAATGAAGCAAGGTTCACAAACCCAGTGTTGTAGTAGAGCCTGGTGAATAAATTCCCATTCACTGTGGAGGCATTAGAATTTACAAGAAAAATCCAGCACAGATTTTTCAGCCAGCCTACCTACCTCCCAGAAGGCTCATAGGTTCTAAAATTAATCACATCCTTTTATTTTTCCCCATTCCTATTCCGATTTTACATTGTTACTCACCCCAGAAGATGGTCAAAGATTTAGTTCAGCAGTTTCCAACCTGGGGTCTCCAGATCTGTGGGGAATCCATGAAGGGAATCGTGGAAGTCTTTGAGCTATTTTCAATATTTCCAAAAGCCTGGCAGAAATTGTATATTATTCTAGATAAGGCTGCATAGGCTAACTAAAATGTCAAGTTGCTTAGCTTTTTGGCCAAATCCTATCCATTTATTGTGTAGCTTTAGTTATTAGGCATTGATCTAAAATTGGAAGTGGATGACGTGTGTCTTTGATGAATAAGAAAGGAGAAACACTATTAGTTATACATGCGGGTGGCTCATTAGACAAAATACTTTAAGGTATGGGGTCTATGTGGAAAAAATAATAAAAGGTGCCCTTGACAATGAAGAAATTGCCTAGCTGCCTACAGGCTTAACCCACAAATTGTCTTCACATTACCATTTCAGTCTTGCTTAGGGAGAGGCTTGAATAAAGTTGTGAACAGCAGTGATTCCTTTTCCTTGGCATATATGGATCTGCTGTGGAGGAAAGCCAGGTGTCTGCCTAGACAAACATTTTCCAAATTGAGAAACCTTTAAAGAAATTCTAAGGGAGTTGTGGAAATAAGAGCTACAGCAGGGGGAAATGATGAGTTCCTAAAATTTGCTGGTGTGCCAGAGCTGGTATGTGTGTTTTGGAGTATATATGAGTGTGTGTTTGTGTGTGTGTGTGTGTGTGTTGGGGGCTGATAGGTTGGAAAGAATCTAGATGTATGTTTGTATGATTGATGGATGGGTGTAGAGTGGAAGTGAGTGACAA